>NC_000005.10:99806776-100109807 GCF_000001405.40 Homo sapiens
GCAAATTTTGCTTCTTATTTATAGTTTAATCTGTAGCAGTGAATATGCTGGCTTTCCTCATATGTGGTCAGTACAATTCAACATCCAATTAGTTTGCTACAATTCAAACCTAATTTTTCAATTTCCTCTTAACTACCATGATATATATTTTCATCTTCAAAAGTGAGTGGTTAGGTTCAATAAGTGTTAACTAAGAATTTTGCAGAAAAACAGCAGACAAAAGTATTCTGAATATTTTTGCTATGTTGGAAATAGGCAGAGTTAGACATCTGTACCTCCTCAGGCCAATGTAAGGAAACATCTGCGAAGTACACATTAAACAAAACATACCATGTATTCAGCCAGAGTGAGATGGTGCAGAGCCAGAAGGGAAAACTAAATAAATTTAAAAAGAGAATTGCAGGGATAGAACTGTGATGTATGGCTCTATCTCCACACTTAATGTTATGTTGCTATGGTATGACTGGCTGAATTAATCCAACTGTATTGGTTAACAGATAAAAGAACAAATTGGACTATCTAACAGAATTGCAAGGTTTGCCAATTTTCGTCTTAACCAGTTAAATAAATAAATACATCTTTTAATGGAAGAATCTATAAATCTATAAAATCTACTAAGCAAAAATAGCACCAATTCAGAAAGAACTATAGAATAATAATTTTTTTAATCTGTATTCAAAAACCTGGCCATCTGCTGTGACAAGCAGGATTAGATCAGTAGTAGCAGTTCTGAGTCAGAGGAAGAAATGATGTAAATGGTAATTGAAATTAGATCTCAAATTACTTTTGAATCTTTACCTTTCACATAACTATTCCAAACAAACCCCTCCCCTATCTCAATCACCATAACCTTCTCTGTTCTACTTTTAACACACATTTATTTGGACTACTTTTAAATTTATATAACTATTATAAAGATAGTATAAATTCCAATATACCTTTCACCATTTCCCCTAATCTTAACAAAGCCATGACACATTTGTAATAATAAGAGATTAACATCGGTACTTCTCTTTTATCTAAATTACAGACTTTATTTGTATTTCATTAGTTTCCACTAATGTCATTTTTCTATTCTGGGGTCCAATCTGGGATATCACATAAGATTTAATCTTCTCCTTGGTCTCTACTAATTGTGATATTTTTCAAGTTTTTTTTTTGTGATCTTAAGAGTTTTTTAAAGTCATGGTCAAGTATTCAATGTGGATTTGTCAGATGTTTTTTCACCATCAGACTGGAGTTCCAGATTTTTGAAAAAAAATACTTATGTGATGAATTATGCTTCTCTTTTGATCATATCTGAAGGTACATTATATCAGTTTGACTTATCACTATAGCATAAAACTTGATCACTTGGTTAAAACCTTCCAAGTTTCTCTTGTGTAAAGTTTCTATTTTTACTGTTCCAAACTATGTTCTAAGTCACTAAATCCAGACCACACTCAATGGGAAAGGAATTAAGCTCCATCTCCTGGAGTACAAATTTCTTTAAAAATTATAAATTTCTATCCTCTTTATTTATTCATTCATTAAATAATTTATTTATGTAAGTATGAACATATGTTTCCACTTCAGGCTATAATCTATTATTCCCTTTCGTTGTTTTGTTTTGTTTTGTTTTTGCTTTTTCTTTCAGCTTGGCCACTGGAGCTTCTTTCAGGTTGGCTCCTATTTCCCTTTCCCATACCCCAAACTTTCTTTGACACTATGAGTTGTCACAGGATCATGTTCGATTTATCTTGCTCAAGTCCTGGAATCAGCCATATTTTAAAGAGCTTTCATTCCCTTATTGAAGAATAGTATTAGAAACCCAAATCTGTGTTCCCGGTGTGTTGATGCTGCTGGACTATTGCTGCTTCTAGGCCCTGTAACGAACAGGGCTAAAAATGTATATATAAATAATAATCCATGCATAAACATGTATCTATAATTATATCTGTATCTATCTGTGTATATTAAAATAAACATTAGTTCACACTGATATCTCAGATTCTAATCCAGCACACTAAGACGTTCATTGTTGTTTTACCCTTTTGTTTATTTATAGCTTCTTTATCTGAGAGTGAGAAACCAGCCTCCCATTAACTATAATTTATTTATTTTGTTAAACCCTACTATACTTGCGACATATTTTCAAGGTGATAAGCCATACCCTTAGGAGAAATAAACTTACTAAAGTAGTATTTATGTACGGTTATTTTTCTCTATATTCTTACAGTTTCCTCTCAAAACATCATCCTACAAAGTTACTTAAGTCAGTTCTTATTTTTCCTACCACCTACAGTGAGGTTGCATCATACATTTGTAATAAAATTATATCATTTTCTTCAGTCTACAGTCTATCCTTGGACTCCCAAATCCAGTTGATTGTGATTTTCATGTACACATATTGAATTTCATTCTTTGTGATGTACATTTTATAGGAGTTTGACAAATGCATACCATCAGTTATCCACAACTCTAGTAACATAGAGAACAGTTACATCGCTCTGAAATTTTCTCTGCACAGCTTGTTTTAGTCACCACTTCTCTCCTCCCTTAATCACTGGCAATCACTGATTTTTTTCTGTGCATATGGGTTCTGTTCTTCTTGGACCTGGCTTCTTTCACTTAACAAAATCTTATTAAGATTTATTCATGTGGTAGCAAATCAACAAGTTGTTCTCTTTTATTGTTTAGAAGTGTTCCACTGCATGATTGTATCACAGTTTGTTTATTCACTCAACTGTTAAAGAACATCTTAGTTTTTACCAACTTGTGGCTATTAAGAATAAAGGTCCTATAAGCTATAAATATTCACATACATATTTTTATGTGAACATGCTTTTTCAACTTGCTTGGAGAAACACCAAATATAGGGATTGCTACATTGAATACTATGCGTAATATAGTTCAACTCTATAAGAAACTTTTACACTGTCTCTAACGTAATTGTACCATCATGCATTCTCATCACAATGAATGAGAGTCCATGTTACTCTACATCCTGATGAGCATTTGCTGTTGTCAACAATTTAGACATTCTAATAGTTGTATAGTGATATCTCACTTTGGTTTTAATTTCAATTTTTCTAATGACAAATAGTGTTGGGCATTTTTATATGCTTCTCTGCCATCTATATATTTTCTTAAAGTGCCTATTCTTTTGCACACTTTGTTTTCTTAGTATTGAGTTTTACTCCATTTTACTTTTAAGTATAATACTCTAGAAAGTATTTTTTAAGTATCAGAATAGATTGAGATGAAAGATTGGCAAGAGGCTCTAGTTGATCTCCTTTGTCTATCGACTTAATCATGGTTTACTCAATGCAGTATTTTGGCATTCAAACAAATGTTCCCTTGCCTTTCCCTACCTTTCTGCCATGTATCACTTCCTGCAAATCCTAAGTATTAATTTCTTCTCTCCCTTGAAACTCCACCACCTTCATGAAACCCAAATTTATCAACTGAAAAGATAGAAAATTAAGCTAGATTACTTATAATGTAATATATAGCCAGAATTTTGTGATTTTGTGAGAACTTCCATGATTTTCAAGAGTATAGATGCAATCTGAATTTTCTTTCTGAATTATTTGTTTGGAAGGGGGCATGTATTTTCTATGATATTCATGGGTACATATATTTCTCTGTCAAAAAGACTCTTAAATCACTTGAGAGTTTTGATTTTTAATTATCTATATCTAGTTAATGATTATACATAGATAACTAATAAAAAAGAAATATTATGGTTTGACTTCAAAGTAAAGCAAGTTTGATATGTTTTTAAGTTTATCTGGAATGAAGTCATTTCTGATAGAAGTTGTTTGTCTCTCTTGGATTTGTTGATTGAGAGAAATCTTGTCATCTGGTTTTTACTTAAATACAGTTTCAGACTGAATTGTATCTTTCCTACAGACATTTATTAAAATAGACACATTTTTAAAACCTATTTTATAATTTGGTATGTGGCCAGCTCTCTGTCATATTTGGTGCCTTAAAAACACCTTTCATGAAAGCTTGTGAGAATTTTCCATGGCCAGATTCAGCTATCTGTCATAGTCAGGTGGAAAAAGAATCCTCCAAACCAGTGTCACACTGCAATGGCAGGGTGATGCAAGCCATTTGGGGATCAAGGGTAATGGGTGATAGCCTTTTTAGATTTTTATCCCATTGTCATGTAAAGGTATATGTACACCTTATATATTTCAGTTTTACTAATTACTGTACCGCCATGCATTTTTAAAATGAAAACTGATTTCTAATATTCATTATCCTGATTTACAAACTTTGTAGTGATAGTGTGAGATAAGGAGAGTTGACTCTTCTGTAGCATATCAGTTCACCCTTGAGCAACATGACTTAGAATTGCATAGGTCCACTTATACATAGATTTTTCAATAAATATGTCAGAAATAGTTTTTGAGAATTGTGACAATGTAAAAAACTCAAATCATGCGGCCTAAAACATTTTAAAAATTAAGAAAAAGTTAGGTACGTCATGAATGAATAAAACGTATGTAGATACTAGTTTGTTTTATTATATACTGCAATAAAGTATATGCAAATCTAAAAAGTTAAAATTAGGAAACATTAAAATTTATCAAAAAGTATACATACAAACCCAGAGTGTCCATTGTGCCATTTTCAGTCCAGAGATATGTAAACAAATGTAAAGGTGCAGTAGTAAATTACAACTGCATAAAATTAACTGTAGCAATACTGCACGACAGTTATGATTTTGTAACCACCTTCTATTGCTATTTCAGTGAGCTCAAGTGTTGCCAGTATCTGCTTAAAATGCCATCCATGCTAAATATCTCTTGTGAGCAGTTTGTCTACCTAATAAGATGCTTATCACAGTAAAGAGTGATCTTTTGAGGTTCTCATGTTTTTTTTATTGTGTTTAGTCCTATACTCTAATACTATAAATAACACCATGGGACCTATAAGAAGTGACACTAGTGATAATGTAACTGCACCTAAGAAGCTGAGCAAAGTCATGACGTTACAAGAAAAAGCTGAATTTTTTGATATGTATCTCATTTGAGGTCTGAAGCTTACTGCCATTGCACACATTTCAAGATAAAGGAATCTAGGGTAAAGACTATTTACAAAATGAATAAGAGAAGAAAACTCTAAAAGCTATGCTGTAGCTACGCCAGAAGGCACAAGGACCTTGCATTTTTTGTAAAATATCTTTTCACTCATATTGAAAATATAGCTATTTGGAAAGAGTATTGCTGTAAGAAAGGCTTACCTAAAGACTATAATATGATTTGAGGAAAAGCAAAACCATTATATGAAAATTTAAAGCAAAAGAAAAGTGAAGGATCTGAAGCTGGAGAATGGAATGTCAGCAAGGGATGGTTTAATAATTTTCAGAAGAGTTTTGGATCAAAAAACTTTCCAGATAATAAGAAAAGCAACTTCTGCTAACCAAGGGGCAGCAGTTGCATTAGTTCCCTGGTGTCATTAGGAAAATACTTAAGAAGAAAAAATATGTACTTGAAGAGATTTTGAATGCAGATAAAATGTGCCGTGCTCTGGAAAAAAAAATTGTCACAAAAAACACTTACTAGTAAGAAAGAGCAGTAAGCATCATCAGGACTTAAAGCAGGAAGGAATAGGCTAACTACAGTTTTGTGCAAATGCAGTCAGATTTATGTCCTGGACTGCCCTTATCTACAAAAATGCTAAGCCCCAAGCCTTGAAAACAAAAGATAAACACCAGCTGCCAATCTTTTCGTTGTATTATATAAGAAGTCCTGGGCAATTAGTACTCTTTCTTTAGATTAGTTGCATTGATGCCTTGTTCCTGAAGTCAGGAAGCACCTTGCCAGTAAGAAACTGCCTTTAAAAGTTCCTTTGCTATTAGACAACTCCTCTGGCCACCACAAAGCCCACGAGTTCAACATCTAAAGCATCAAAGTGGTCTACTTGTCCCCAAGCACATCTTTGATTCAGCCTCTATATCAAGGGCTTATAAGGACCTTTAAGGCTAATTACAAATGGTGCTCTATGAAAAAGGTTGTCAATGCTATTTAAGTAACCCCAATAGAGAGAACATCGTGAAAGTCTGAAAGGATCACAGCAATGAAGATGCCGTTGTTGTTATAGAAAAAAACATGAAAGCCATCAAGCCTAAAACAATAAATTCCTGTTGGAGAAAATTGTGTTTAGATGTTGTATGTGACTCCTCAAGACTTATGACAGAGTCAGTAAACGTAATCATCAAGGAGACTGTGGATGTGGCAAAAATGCCAGAGGGATGAAGGGTTTCAAAATATAAATCTTGAAGGAATTCTAGAGCTAACAGACACCACATCAGAGGAATTAACAGAGACAACTTTTTCAGATGAGTGCTTCTGAACCAGTGCCAGACAATGAAGAAGAAGGTGTAGAAGACACTGTGCCAGAAAAATAATTGACGTTTCTTAATTGGTGGCTGCTTTTGGGCCAACGGGCCCAACTATCTGGGAGAAGGATTCTGATTATTCAAAACTTCTTTTGACTTCCTTTATGACTGAGACCCTTTTGTGATATAGGTGCTAAAACTAAAGCAAACAATCGCAGATGGCTGGTAAGGTATAGAAATCTTTTTAGAGAAATGAAAAAGCAAAAAATCACCTAGAAATCACGATTTACTTCTCTAAATTACACTGAGTGCGCCTGCCTCTTCTGTCTCCCTTTTCAACTCCTCCACCTCGTCTGCCTCTGCCATCACTGAGACAGCAAGACCAACCCCTCATCTTCCTCCTCCTCCTCCTCAGCCCACTCAATATGAAGATAATGAGAATGAAAAGCTTTATGATGATCTACTTCCACTTAATAAATAATAAATATATTTCCTCCCCCTTATGATTTTCTTAATATTGTTTTCTCTAGCTTACTTTATTGTAGAATACTTTGTAATACATATAACATACAAAACATGTGTTATCAACTGTTTATATTATCAGAAAACAGTACGATGTTACAACAGTAGGCTATTAGTCAACAGTAGGCTATTAGTAATTAACTTTTGGGGAGTCAAAAGTCATAAGCAGATTTCTGACTATGCGGGAAGTTACTGTCCCTAACTCCTGCATTGTCATCTGTATATTTACAGAGTGGACTTTCTGATAAACTGCTAGGAGTTCATCTTTGGTGTAAAAGTTCCCTTAAAAGGCCATGAATTCCCCCTAGGCTATACCTTAAACTAATTAATACAGACAAATAATGACACTATGTTGAATATTTCAAATCAAATTACATACATCAATATAAATGGTAACTATCATCTTGATTCTGATGTAGAATGACATACATGTTTTGTAAAACAAAAAAAAGATATGTGTACAACATTTCACAATCTGAGATCTAAAACCCACATAACCCACGAGCCAAAAAAAAAAAAAATAGCTTAGTTCTGGGTGACTTGTTCTTCCTGGAGATCTAAAATATTGACCTTCTTTCTTTTCTTTCTTTTTTTTTTCAAAATACTCAGATTTTTATTTAATAATTTCACCTCAAAAATTTTGGTGTGAATTGATATTTACCTGTTTATTGTGTATTTCACAGAATAAAATATAAATTATTCAAACACAAGGTGTAGTTTGTCATTTTATATCCATTGTCTGGCACAATATCTGGACTTAATTGTTATTCAGTAAGCATGCCATTGGTCAGTGGTTTTCAGAATTCAATTTTCTCTATTTAAATTTGTCGTCTGGCTCTTTTCCTATTTTATGTGACTAAGAGTGTGCAATTGCTAAATATTTTCATTTGAAATGTGTCCAACATGGCAAATTCAATTTGTCAGACTTGGAAATGTGAAGTCACTTAACATGGCCAGCTGCTCTCTTAGTATCGCTTCACCTACAACTAATAAAATACTTGACCAACTGGAACAGAAATGGAACTTTAACAAAAGAAATGACCAAAGCAGTATGCACCAGCCAAACAGCTGCTCTGGTTTTAGGCTAGTCTTAATTAACAATAGTTATTTACATCTTTCCATTGAATGTATTATCTATTGGAAGAAGTAGTAGTGAGTTAACTAGTTATTATCACAAAGTTAAAAAAAATCTTGCTACGACCATTGGAATTTTCTGCTACCATCAGCTAATTTTAACATTTACTTTTCTGACAAAATTGTCCAAAATGTCTTTGAATTTCTATGTGCCAAACATTGAACTGCACAATTCATAATTCATTATTCATATATACTATGAACTTTCCCTTTCATTTTCTACCACAATTACTCTGTGTGTACTAGTTTAACCCTAGTTTCACAGATGGAGAAACTGAGGCAGAGAGCATTTAGACAACTTGCCTAAGGCCACTCAGCTGGAAAATAGAGGAGGTAGGATTCAAATCTCATCAGACTGGTTCCAGAATACATACTCTTAAACAATGTGTCCCCCACCACTGCATTCATATTTTTAGTGCTCTTTCATTCCCATAAAATACATGTAAAAGAGTACTCATAGCAGCTATTTCAAAATAGCTAAAACTCAAAATGCAATTTCCATCAATAAAGCAATGAATAAATAAACTGTGGTATACAAATGCAATGTTCATACACATCAATAAAAGTAATGAATTACTGATACACTTAAAATGGATGTCTTATTGAAGTAATTAAGAAGAAAACAAGCCAAACACTAGAGTATATACTCTGTGATTCCATTTATATGGAGTTCCAAAACAAACATCTCTAACTGATGATGATAGAAATTATGCTGCTTTGCTCTTTGGACATGATGCATTGACTTGAGTGGGCTATATGTATACAAAAACGTTCTGATGTGATGGGAAGTTTTATATCATGATCTAGACGGTGAGGAAACAGTCATAAAAGATACACGCTTAAAATGTTTGCACATCATATACTTCACTGTATTTATTATATGGCTCAATTAAGATAATCATTGATATATTCTAAGTCCTCTTCTGCTTAAGCAACTCTTCCTGTTACCACTTTTATGCATTTAAGAAATTATTGAAACCTCTTCTAAAACTTGGGGTTCATAAATAAATATATGAGTCATTCCCTTATAAAATTACAAGTATGTTCACTACTTTTCTGACACTACCTCATTACAAACCATTCAATTCTGGTGAATTAAGTGCATAATAACAGGTTCTCTCACTGTCTTCTTGGGCTTCTAAGGGATAATGTCAACAATCAAATGAGAAACGTAATTGCTGTTCTCTTTGGAACAAAATGTAAATTAAAATTACTCTTTATTATTTTTAATATACCTGGTTGCCTCCAAAATTCTCATATTTATTGCTTTATTTATCTTTTTCTCTTCTCAAAATTTCATTTTAAAGTGTTGGTTTTTTGCTTTCTCTTATCACTTAGCCATCTTTGAATAAATACTTTCCAGTTTTCTAAAATCCTTTCCAGTTGTTTATTTCATGATTTAACATCATGAAAATTTCAGCCTTTTATTAGAAACTATTGCTCAGAAAAAATTATTATCTATATAGACTTCTAATAACTTTCACTATGCTTCTTTTTTTCCCTTGTCACTTTCTGCTAGTGATGCACATATTGAAAACACTGTTTATTTCACCCAACATTTTAGTTTCCAGCTGGAGATTTCTTCTGGCCATATCAATCTTTCACGCTGAGTCAAGGAAGAGTCAACTGAGTTGTTGAATTTTCCTGAAATTTCTAATCAGAAATATAGGAAAAGTAGTTCAGCTGGCTCTGCCTAAGACTACAATGCAGTACTCTCAGCATAGAGTCAGCAACCTACATGTTTTGTTTTTTCTTTCTGTGTTTTGTAACATTATTTTTGCACCAGCTAGCACAAGTAAATAATTGTTCTTTGTCCATTGTGGGATGCCATTGCTTTAGCAGAAATTTCAAATTTATCCTCTTTCCTGCTGAATTCCTGATCATAGGTAAAGTTTTTTTGGTTTTGATCTTTCATTATTTACTTCTTTGTAACTCTTTAATTTTCAGTCTTCCCCAAAACATCCCTGCCAGCTCACCTATTCTTTAGAGTTATTTCTTCAGCTCTCATAATCCAGAGATACAGAAGCATTCCTATGATACAGAAAGAACAGCACATTATTTCTCCTTAGACAATGGGAAAATATATTGAAGCAATAACACAAATATAGAATGCCCCCTGTAGCTCACAAAAACTTCTCCTTAGCAACTGTCTATTGTGGATCTCATATTAATTAGAATCCTATGTGGTAATTCATGAACCTTTCTTTACCATACCTGCTCAGTGCTCATTGTCCTTAATCTAATTGTTTTCTCCCTCTTAAAAAAAATGTGTTGGCACAATTTACTGTAAAATAAAGCCTATTTCAAATACTAATTTTTCACACTTTTAGTAATATTGGTATTCTGAGAGATTATTTCTGGTTAAAGAAATACATCATATAGGTTTGTCTACACACAGAAATATTTATTTGAATGTATATAGGCTATTACAAATAAAAATTTATGTATGAAATAATGCAGATAGATTGCAAGTCTTCTTAGAAAGAATGCCATGCTTGTTAGAAGAATGATTTGACCAGTGTCTGAAGTAGAAAGTAAGCCAACATGGCACATATATACATATGTAACAAACCTGCACGTTGTGCACATGTACCCTAAAACTTAAAATACAATAAAAAAAAAAAAAAAGAAAGTAAGACATTCAACACTTTCGGAAAGAAGTTCATCTATAGTACAAAGGTGAAAAGGAAATGGAACTCCAGAGAACAAACCAGGAAGCTAAGATAAAGAATAGAGGCAGGGAATAAGAGACCCAATTAAGATTTTTTTTCATGTCATAGGTATATATCAAGAACTCGTTATGTTCCAGGCATTCAAGTTACTGAGAATACGTAAGAGAATGAGAGCTAGGTTTCCAACTCTCGATGGCCTGACACTCTAGTAGGCAATAAAAGACAATAAACAAGTAATTTTGTTGGCAATTTTAGATGTTAACAGATACAATGAAGAGAATAAAATAAGGCAATGAAATGGAGAGTGAAAGTAGAGAACTCTAGAAGAAAGTGGTCAGAGATGTCCCTGTAGGGAGATGGCCTGTAATTCTGTGGAAGAACGTTAGAAGGGAGGAAATAGCTCTGCGCTGCATGCTGAGGCCTAAATCAGGAACTGCCAACCCAAATCTTCAGTGATCCACTAAACTTATAAATGTAAAGTGATTTTTTTTTTTTCTGGTTGAGGCAGAGTCTAGCTCTGTTGCCTGGCTGGAGTGCAGTGGCGCGATCTCGGCTCAGCGCAATCTCCGCCCTCCCGGGTTCAAGCGATGATTCTCCTTCTGCCTCAGCTTCCTGAGTAGCTGGGATTATAGGCACGCACCACCACGCCCGGGTAATTTTTTTTTTTTTTTTTTTTAGTAGAGACGAGGTTTCACCATGTTGGTCAGGCTGGTCTCGAACTCCTGACCTTGTGTTCGGCCCGCCTCGGCCTCCCAAAGTGCTGAGATTACAGGCGTGAGCCACCGTGCCCGGCAATATAAGAATAAAAACATATACCTGCATTTCATGGTGAGAGCAAGAGGATGAAAGGAAGAACAGAATACATATGAGGAAGCTACAGCTTCAGAGGTAGAAAAAGCAGGCTACAACAAGGCTTGAGAGTCACACTATCCATATGTAGGACTTCTTCTCTGTTATTTAAGTCTAAGTATATTAAAATATTGACAGTGATATCTAAACAACTAAGGCAGAAGTAGAGAAAGTTCAATAAAGATGTGTATAGGAATGTGCATTTTAATCTAGCAACACAAAATATCAAATATTCTCCAAAGCACTAAATACCTTGTCATACTATGATGCATAAAATATTAAAAGCAGGAATATATATATATATATGTATCTTTCTGTTTCTCTCTCTGAGATTGGAAATTTGGATTTTAAGGATTTTCTGAAGATTGTAAGCTTTTAAAAATCTGTTTCATGATATGAAGTGAGCTAACTCTATTATATGTTCATACATATGTGTGTGTGTGTGTGTGTGTGTGTGTGTATGTGTGTATATATATATATATATATATTAGACTGTCTTTTATCTTAACTAAAGAGAAAAAATGAGGTAGCACCAGATACAACTAAAGAAAAGAAATGAGGTAGCAGCAGAAACAAAAATTAATTATCCAAAATAGGGTAGAATACAGGAAGAATACTGGCATTCATAACTGAATTACTCCACCATCTGGTACTCCTAGACAGCTGTGAAATTAGTTAACCTCTCTATGATAGCTTCATCATATTTAAAATGAATCTAAATAATTATCACTGGATTCGGGTGAATATATGAAATCGTATAGTAACGATTGTAACAATGATGACGCGAATCACTAAAATAATGTTTTTATTTAAAACACATACTCTGGACTTAAATTGCTTAGACCTAAATTCCAACATTGTCACTTAGTAGTTGTACTGCTTATTAACCTTGAGGAAGCCATGAAACTCTCCAAAATTCAGGGTTATCAGAAGTATTAAGGAGTGATCCTAACAGCACCTATATTTATATATGTACCATATATTCATTATTTCTGTAAAAGCATGAATGGGAGCCAGTCTATTATTTTCAAAATGACATAGTTTATTAGTTATGTTGATTATTTTTCCTTGATGCCACTTCTTTTTTTCAATATTTGATTTTGAAAGGTCACCTTAAGAGTAGAAAGTTTAAATTATTTTCTCTTTTTGGATAGCTTTTATAATAAGTTTGTTATGAACATTTGTTACTTGTGGAATAATTGAGTTTTAAGGATTTTCTGAAGATTTTAAGCTTTTAAAAATGTGTTGCTTGATATCAAGTGAGCTAACTCTATTATATGTTTCTTTATCCTTACAATCTTGGAAAATAGGAAAATCCCAGAAGCAGCCAGAAAGTTCAAATGTTAACAATCTCAGCCTATCCAAACCCTTCCTCTATGCTAAAGGGAGACATTGAATGCCTGGTTTATTTTACCAGCTTCAACTGCAGTAGCCAATAAATAGAACCATTTAGTACCATTATCTCTATTTGGAAAAAATACTCATCCCTGTTAGATGCCTACCTGCTATCTGCTCTGATCAGTGCCTCTTCATTCCCACCCTCTTCCAGTGACCTCCACAATTCCAAATTATAGGAAAAAGATTTCTCTTTTAACAGTATCACATTCTTTTGAAAAATCACCTGACATTATGCCTTGCATTTTTGGGTTTGCACCAGAATCCTGAAGTACATCCGGGGGCTCTCCTGCATTGCCATCTTTTGTTATACCACTTAACATCACCCCTGAAACTAGTCCAAAGAAGGTTTAAATGGAAGACACTTAGTGCCATTTACTGTGTTGTATCAAATTAAGTATTCTTTCATATCTCAACAGTATATCAATGCAGCTCATTCTCTAATATATATTCCAGCTAACAGGTTATAAAGTGACTTGTTCGCCAGTAGCTTAGCAAATCTTCTAATGTGTAATTGCTAGTATCAAAATGTGCAGATAATAGTATTGTATTTGTTTAATTTCCTCATCTGAGTCTCTGACAGCATGTTTTGCCTGAATTCACAAAGGAAACACAGTTCAAGACATCAGTATGATCTCTATTTTATATGTACATGTTACATTTAATATGCAGCTATTAGTGGAGAGTTCCAATGTATATTATCCCTATAAACATTTCTACCTTAGTCACTGTCATTTAAGCAAAATGGTAAAATAATATAATGTTATGAAATCAAATGAGTAAATTTCACATTCAAAGAACAAATCTAAATTTGTAGCCCTGAATGTAACTTGGAAGAGATGTTCATTATTTGCCTGCTCCAATAAGAAAATACACAGCTAGTAGTGTCAGTAGCTGTGCATAGGTAAAAGGCAAGAAGACACTACTCTCTTACAGATATTTAGAACAATGCTAGTGAGTATTGCAGGCAAAAACCAGGTGGATTGATTCATAAAGCTTTATTTTGAATTATAGAAGTCCTTTGGAATACATGGTGGATTGGTTTCAGGATCACCCTCCATAGCAAAATTCACACACACTCAAGTCCTACAGCTGGTCCTGTGGAACCCAATATATAAAAAGCCGGCCCTCTCATATATGCTTGTTGAAAAAAATCTGAGTATAAGTAGGCCTGTGCAGTTCAAACTCCAGTTGTTCCAAAGTCAAGTATGTAATGTAGTTGAGTAGCCTACATGATTAAGGACAAGAAATAACTAAGCTTATAAAATCTCATTATTTTGGATTAACAGAACCTTCTAAGAACATATAGGGAAATTACATAGAATCCATATATCTGTGTTTGGGGAGATTCTTTGAGGTGACAATAATTCTTGAGAAAAGGAACAAGCTGGTTCATGATATCACAGTACTTCAAATACAGAGAGAGAGAGAGTCAGTCATGAGACAGAAGGATGTAAAGATCTATGTTACAAAAAACAACTACCCCCAAATTTAAATTTGCAGACAGACAAATTATAAATTAAATGGCAATATAAGTTAAATGTAAAGGATTCTTTTATTTAATATCGTACTTTGAGAAATCTAGGCAGAGATAGCAAATGCTGTGTCATTTTGAATAAATTACTCAAATAAACTCAAGTAACCATTTCATTATACAATGATGTGGTGCACCTGAAAAAGATTAATAGAACCTTATAAGAGTAGGCCCAGAATCAGAAATAATTTATTTGGTGGTTATCTAGTAAAGTATTGAACAACTTAAAGATTTCATAAATACTTATAGAAAACTAAATGGATGTATATATCTTTGTTATTTATGATGGATTTTTAAATGTATGGTTAACATTCTGGATAATGTTAATAATTTAAATCTAAAATGTTTATAAAGTTATTCTATTTTTTAAATTTTCTATAAACTTTCAAGTTACATTACCTCTCAGGATACTGCAATACTGGTATTGAAATAGGGGCGGTCTTCTATACTTATGTATAAAATCTGGTCCCCAAACTGAGAAATCAAGGACAGGAGGCTTCCAGAAAGTAGGGGGATGTTATTTCATTCCTATTCATTTTTACTCTAAAATGTTGATGTTTGCAGCTTAAAGTACACTTATTTTTAAGGTGATATCTAGTAAATAAATAACACAGATCTGGTTTTCTTTGAAAACATAATTTGGTTCATCTATTTCATAAATAAAATTTATAGTGCCATTTTCATAGCAGCTAAAGTAAAATAAATATCTTAATATGCATTTTATGAAAACATGATGAATTAGTATTATCCTCTGATTATTTTTAGAAAACATAATTGGCACAATTTGTACAAAATGAAACATTGCAACTATTTGTTTATCAAATTATATTTCTGGGAAAAAAATGGTCATATTATTGGGATACCAGTACAAAAAATTAAATGAACAGAAAATTTTGATACAAAACTCAGCATTGCAATTTTGGTAATTTTGTTAGTAGAACAGAAAGTTGCTTTAAATATGTTCTGTTGAACTTGTTTTCAGTCTCAGTGGGTAGTAAAACAAAATAGTAATTTTGTTGGAGGAAAATAGAAATCAATTGGGTGCATTCACTATTCTGCATGCTGTGAATTGAAAGAATGCTTGAAATAATGTGTTTTTACAACACTATCTGATTTTCGGGTTCACTGTTCTTCTACTTGGTCATTTAAAATAAAACTTCAAGTTATATACATGTGTTGAAAGGGTAAATGCTTTTTATTTAGGTACAGAACACCAATCTCAAGATGGATCTAAATCCAATTTAAAGATGATTTGATTTTTATAGGCACCTAGGTAAGAAAAACGGATAAATAAATATGTGTACCAGTTCAGTTGTCATGGAAATCAGGGAACGAAAATGAAGTATTTTACTCATGGACTGTTTTTTGGTCCAGTTTACCATTTCTTATTATCTGTTTTCCATGTTTACAGGAAGTGGGCTTTAAGTAGCACTCTCATACATTTCTATGGTTTGAAGCAGCCACAGCAACAAGTGCAATTATCATTCTTACATTCAATCAGAGATTGTCCTTTCATGTGGCTATTTCATGCATTAAGTATTATTAAATGTTTTAAATTAGAGAAAAACAATCTACTCTAAAGAAATACAAGAAAGCAGATAAGATTGGCTTAGGTCATTACACATGACATTTTAGTGTTTTTTTCTCTGTATATTGAAAAATCTATTTCGCTCAGCAAAAATAAGCAGCAGGCAAGCATAGTCAGGATCTTCTTCTGCAGGTAAATTTGATTTTTTCCAGTGTTTTAGAAATAGTGTTTAAATCACCTGGAGCCCATCACTTCCATTTGTATATCATTCAAACTATGAGTCTCTAGATAGATTACCTAGGCCTCTAACTAAAGAATTTATTTGGCAATTCCTGTGATCATAGGCAGTTATAAAAGTTATACAAAGTTTCTACAAGTATAAATCAAAATGGTTAGACTAGAATATCCAAAGAGAAAAGAAGATCTCGTTAAACCATAGAATACACATTTGTTCAAATGAAGGGAAGGAGGCTTACATGGTGAATAAAGCAATTTTACATCTAGAAAAAAATGCTGCTTATGGGCACATTACAGGGAAAGAAACTGAGAAATTTGGCCTGAAGTCACAGAAAATGAAATAAAATTGAAAAAATATCTGTGAGTCAAGAAGCAGGAGCAATAAATTGATTGCTAATGAAGTACACCGGGTACTTTACTGACGCTTTACACTGATTGTCTTAAGTTCTCACAGTGACCCTATGAGTTAGTGTTTACTCCCATTTACTGATAAGAATATAGAATCCCTCTACACGGCATTGTCACTATTCATAAATCAAGTGATTGTATACATGTGTTTAACTGTTACTGGACTTTCTATTATTTTCCATGAATCTCTTCCTCAACTTTCATTGTTATTCTCAGTCCTTTAGAGCTACATATTTTATACAAATTTACCTTTTTTTTTGAGGCAGTATCTTTGTGATGTCACTCAGGCTGCAATGCAGTGGCAGGATCATGGCTTACTGCAACATCAAGCTCCTGGGCTAAAGAAATTCTTCCACCTCTGCCATAAAGGATAGCTGGGCCACCATACCTGGCTAATTTGTTTGTGAGTGTGTGTCTGTGTGTGTGTGTGTATGTGTGTGTGTAGGCAGAGTCACTATGTTGCCCAGGCTCGTCTCAAATCCCTGGTCTCAAGCAATCCTCTTGATTTGGTCTCCCAAAGTGAAATTTAAATTTTGCATGTCGATTTGAACTAAAAATCTTGACATTTCTGTTCATTTTTCCATTAAATTCAAATATTATCATTGAAAAGACTGACATCTTAAAATATTTTCTTATAATTTGTAAGCAGAATGCATTTCTCCAATTATTTAGGTATTTAACAATATCTCTCAATTTTTCTTTTTATTCGTACTGTGATTATATTAATATATTTTGTATATTTATTCTTACATATTTAATTCTTATAGCTATTGTAAATTGTATTTTAAATTTTATTTGACAGTTATTTGTTACTGTTATATACAAATTCAATAACTTTTAATATCTTCCCCTTATATCCAATTAACATGCTAAATCCACTTAATAGTTCTAATAATTTATATTATTGTGGATTTTCTTGGTACACAATAGTTTCAACAGCAAAAAGTAATATTAATATTTTTTCTTTTCAAGAATAGTTTTCGTATCTTATTGCACAGGTTAAGATTGCCATATGTTGTGAAAAGAAATATTGATAATGGGCATCTTTGTCTCAATCCAGATCTCAGGGAATGAGATCTATTCAACCATTTTGTATGATATTTGCTACAGGTTTCAGGCATATTCTTCATCAGATTAAAGACATTCCCTTTTATTGTTAGATTATAATACTTAGGCAAACTGTTCCTCATGGCCCACTCAACTAGAAACTATTCAGGGAATAAAACCTTGGAAAACCTAGTGCAACGGGTCTAAATAAATATAATGAAACACAGTATCTGTCTCCTTATTAAATTCTCATTTCTATGAGGCAGAGTGTTGTTTTATGCCCATAATTTGATCCTTGCAGTGCCTTTATAGTGCCTGAAACATAGCAAATAGACATAGTCAACCATTTTGAATTAACAAATATTTTTAAAATTGTTAATACAAAAAAATTGATGTGGGGAGATATAAAACACATTTGGAAAAGTGAGTCATAACACAATTTGTTGAAATTGATTGTACCGTGAAAACTATATACATATAAGAACATAGTATAGAACAAATGACTAAAACGATTCTCTGTGTAATAATTGAGTATGTTTATTTTTGCTCATATCATATATGACATATATGTCATATATACGTCCTAATAGGCACTAAGGAATGTTTTGAATGTTTAATTCAAAAACTGGTATAGCCACCTCCACCACTTAGTATTTCCCAAATTTAACTCATGAGTTGTTTAACTTTATTCTCATTAAATAGTGCCATTGAATCATTCAATGTAAAAATATGTTTTTATTTTAGTCATCTTACTGTTCACCAAAAGCTGTATATTCTACCTCTTAATCTTTCACCTTTTTTCCCGACTATTATTTCTATTCCTCTTCTCCAAACTGAATTTACAACACCTCCAAGACTATCTTTAAAAACATCACACATATCAGATAGTAAATGTCTTCCAATATGTGTCCAGGAAGGTGTTTGATGATAGGGAAGATGACAAAAGATGTTGGAGAAGGAGCATTAGTCACTCAGGTAAACAAGTAAAGTTTATACAATTAGGTAAACACAATGCTAGAGTTAGGCACTAATAACTGCTGCCAAATTTGGCACTTAATACAGCCTTGCTAGAGAGACAGGATTTCAATAAATTTTCTCTGATAATCTTTCATTAGAGACACATTGATTGGTAATTTCTCAAATAAAATAGCTTTTTATTTTACTTTGACAGTAAGCATGATTAATTCTTGTATCTCTCAGAATACAGAGAACAAAACAGAGAATACAAACACTAGTTATTTTAATAAGCAGAATTTTATACACAACATTATGTAGAAAGAGATTGGGGAACCAAAAAGGCAAAAGGTGACAATCAGGTAACACAGACATAGTAATGTAGAAAACAGCAACTGACCCCTATGGCTGGGGGAACATGAAAGAAATTGTAGTTCTTAGAATCTAAAAGCTTAGAAATTCCGGAAGGAACAAGTACTCAGATTTCTAAGGAAAGAATGCCAACCGGCTTTCACAAAGAGGAACGAGATAAAGTCACTTCTGTGGATTGTGGGAAAACACTGAAAACACTGGAAACTGGCACCACAAGAAATATGATTTCCAGAGTCTCAACTCCAGCATGAAAAGCACAATATGGCAGTGTGGGTTTGGGAATCAGACACAATAGCTTAATAATCAGTATAATTCTCAATTAATTCTTTCTAAATACAGTAAGCAAAATAAATTATAAAATAATATTAATTGGAATATCACTACTCAAAAAAATAATTGCTAGTATTTTAGTAAATATTCCAAATATTAAACTGTACTCACATCTTGCAAACATAATATAAATTTTTAATGAAACAAAACACTGCAGTTAGAAATGCTGCTTTATTCAATAAACAACACGTCAGGCATTTCTTTCAATATCATTAATTTAACTGTACATTGTTATTTTAATGGCTGCCTAAAATTCTGTTATATAAATGTACCCTAATTTATTTATCCCCACTAATTAGGTTTTCTAGGAAAATTCCATTTCTTTTACCATTACGCTGGTTAAGCAATAGTGTAAAAAATATCCATGAAGACAGATGCTAGCTGACATGTACCATTATCTTTCTAAAATAAATTTCTATTTAAGCAATGGTGAAATCAGGTAATACACAAGTCTTATATGATGCCCAATGTTAAATTGCCCTACAGAAACTTTAGAATAATTTACATTTGTACAAATGTAATACCTATTTTCTTCCATCTTAACCTAATATGGGTTTGTCAATGTTAGTAATCTTAAAGAATTTAATGGAGGTCATAATGTTTAAATTGGTAATTAGTAACAAAGTTAAATGTATTTTTAGTTTTATTATTAATATCGTATTTGTTTTTTGTTACATTTAAATCATTTATGTCCCAGGGCAAACATAAATGTAATTACAAATAAATAAACCTACAGTTCCAATAAATTTACCTTTTCAGTTGCCCCGATGATATTCTTTGATGAACCATTACAAATTGCTTTCAAATCAGAATGAGTTATAAATCATTTGAAAACAATTATTCTGCTAAGCATTCATATACAGTTGACCCTCAAACAACATCGGTTTGAACTGTGTGCATCTACAAATATGTGAATTGTTTTCTGCATATATTAATTTTTTGAGATGTGCAACAATATAAAAAACTTTCAAATAAACTGCATAGCCTAGAAATATCAAAAAGTAAGAAAAAGTTACGTTATGAATGCATAAAATATATGTAGATGCTAGTCTATATTTACTACCACAAAATATATACAAAATTATTATTAAAGGAATTCAACACCAAAGGTGTCAAAGTGATCTACTTGCTACAAGTACCACATCATTAATTCAGCCTCTAAATCAAGCAGTCATAAGGCCTTTAAGGCTCATTACACATTGTACTCTATGGAAAGGATTGTCAAAGCTATGAAAAAGACCTCCAATAGAGAGCACATCATGAAATTCTGGAAGGGTTATACCATTGAAGATGCCACTGTAGTCATAAAAAAGGCCATGAAAACCATCAAGCCTGAACAATAAATCCATGCTGGAAAAAACTGTGGTCAGATGTCCTGAATGACTTCATGGGATTTATGACAGAGCGAAAAAAGGAAATCATTAAAGCGATTATGAATATGGCATAAAAAGTTGGAAGGGTTTCAAGATACAGATTTTGGAGACATTCAAGAGCTAACAGACACCACACCAGAGGAACTAAGAGGAGATGACTTGGTGGAGATCAGAGCTTCAGAACCAATGCCAAACAAAGAGGAAGAGGATATAGAAGAAGTTTCAGAAAAACAATTGACATAGGAAATAATCTGGCAGAAGAGTTCCAGTTATTCATGACTGCTTTTGAGTTCTTTTATGATGTGGACCCTACTATAACATGGACACTGAAAGTAAAGCAAACAGTGGAAGAGGGATATAGAAACATTTTCAGATAAATGAAAAAGCAAAAATATCAGACAGAAATTGTGATATATATTTCCATAAAGTTACACCAAGCCTGCCAGGAACTCCTGCTTCCTCTTTCACCTCCTCACCTCTTCTGTCTAAGCCCTGAGACAGCAAGACCAACCTCTCCTCTTCCTCCTCCTTCTCAGCCTATTCAACGTGAAGATTATGAGAATGAAGACCTTTATGATGATCCACTTCTACTTTATGAATAGCAAATACATTTTCTTTTCCTTATGATTTCCTTAACATTTCTCTTTATTTATTGTAGAGACTACAGTATATACAATAGTATTTCCTTATGATTTCCTTAATATTTCTCTCTACTTTATTGCAGAGAATACAGTATATAATATACCACATATAATATGTGCTAATTGCCTGTTTATGTTATAGATAAGGCTTCTGGTTAATAGTAGGCAATAAGAAATTAAGTTTTTTGGAAGTCAAACGTTATATGCAGATTTTCTCCTGTGTGGTGGATTGGCACCCTTAACTCTGATGTTGTTAAAGGATCAACTGTTCTGTATTTGATCTTAAAGGCAAAATAATCTTCAGCAGAAAGAAGTAAAGAGTTGGTTGAATAATAAAATATTAAAGTATCAAATGGTTACTGTCTAAAAACATAAAATTACATTTATTAATAGCTACTTTTTATTTTAAATGACATTAACTTGCATTATTATATATAGGGAATATAATGTTAACATATTTTGTGATAATAAATCATATATATCATTCCTACTTTATCTGATGTTATATAAATTTTCAAGTCAATAAAATTTATGCACATAAAAGGCAGATCTTCAAAGATGAAAAATACAACTCGTTAACATATATTACTTCTATTCATTTATTAAGATACAAGTTGTTTTACTATTGCATATAAAGCAGAAATTGAGGCACTCAAATATTTGGGAAAATAAGCACACTTCGCTTCTTTAGAAAACAAAATAAAGAAAATTATTGACATATGTGTCGATGTAAAAAATAACCTGCATGGCAAAGAACACCAATTCACCAAAGTTCTTCCAACTCAATATTAAAAATTAGTCTTCTCTTAGGAGGTGATCTATAGAGAAATTTAAAATCTTTTAAATTTTTAAAATTATTATTATACTTTGAGTTTTAGGGTACATGTGCACAATGTGCAGGTTAGTTACATATGTATACATGTGCCATGCTGGTGCGCTGCACCCATTAACTCGTCATTTAGCATTAGGTATATCTCCTAATGCTATCCCTCCCCCCTCCCCCCACCCCACAACAGTCCCCAGAGTGTGATGTTCCCCTTCCTGTGTCCATGTGTTCTCATTGTTCAATTCCCACCTATGAGTGAGAACATGTGGTGTTTGGTTTTTTGTCCTTGTGATAGTTTACTGAGAATGATGATTTCCAATTTCATCCATGTCCCTACAAAGGACATGAACTCATCATTTTTTATGGCTGCATAGTATTCCATGGTGTATATGTGCCACATTTTCTTAATCCAGTCTATCATTGTTGGACATTTGGGTTGGTTCCAAGTCTTTGCTATTGTGAATAGTGCTGCAATAAACATACGTGTGCATGTGTCTTTATAGCAGCATGATTTATAGTCCTTTGGGTATATACCAAGTAATGGGATGGCTGGGTCAAATGGTATTTGTAGTTCTAGATCCCTGAGGAATCGCCACACTGACTTCCACAATGGTTGAACTAGTTTACAGTGCCACCAACAGTGTAAAAGTGTTCCTATTTCTCCACATCCTCTCCAGCACCTGTTGTTTCCTGACTTTTGAATGATTGCCATTCTAACTGGTGTGAGATGGTATCTCATTGTGGTTTTGATTTGCATTTCTCTGATGGCCAGGGATGATGAGCATTTTTTCATGTGTCTTTTGGCTGCATAAATGTCTTCTTTTGAGAAGTGTCTGTTCATATCCTTTGCCCATTTTTTGATGGGGTTGTTTGTTTTTTTCTTGTAAATTTGTTTGAGTTCATTGTAGATTCTGGATATTAGCCCTTTGTCAGATGAGTAGGTTGCAAAAATTTTCTCCCATTCTGTAGGTTGCCTGTTCACTCTGATGGTAGTTTCTTTTGCTGTGCAGAAGCTCTTGAGTTTAATTAGATCCCATTTGTCAATTTTGGCTTCTGTTGCCATTGCTTTTGGTGTTTTAGACATGAAGTCCTTGCCCCTGCCTATGTCCTGAATGGTAATGTCTAGGTTTTCTTCTAGGGTTTTTATGGTTTTAGGTCTGACATTTAAGTCTTTAATCCACCTTGAATTAATTTTTATATAATGTGTAAGGAAGGGATCCAGTTTCAGCTTTCCACATATGGCTAGCCAGTTTTCCCAGCACCATTTATTAAATAAGGAATCCTTTCCCCATTGCTTGTTTTTCTCAGGTTTGTCAAAGATCAGATAGTTGTAGCTATGCGGCGTTATTTCTGAGGGCTCTGTTCTGTTCCATTGATCTATATCTCTGTTTTGGTACCAGTACCATGCTGCTCTGGTTACAGTAGCCTTGTAGTATAGTTTGAAGTCAGGTAGCATGATGCCTCCAGCTTTGTTCTTTTGGCTTAGGATTGACTTCGCGATGCGGTCTCTTTTTTGGTTCCATATGAACTTTAAAGTAGTTTTTTCCATTTCTGTGAAGAAAGTCATTGGTAGCTTGATGGGTATGGCATTGAATCTATAAATTACCTTGGACAGTATGGCCATTTTCATGATATTGATTCTTCCTACTACCCATGAGCATGGAATGTTCATCCATTTGTTTGTATCCTCTTTTATTTCATTGAGCAGTGGTTTGTAGTTCTCCTTGAAGAGGTCCTTCACGTCCCTTGTAAGTTGGATTCCTAGGTATTTTATTCTCTTTGAAGCAATTGTGAATGGGAGTTCACTCATGATTTGGCTCTCTGTTTGTCTGTTATTGGTGTATAAGAATGCTTGTGATTTTTGTACATTGATTTTGTATCCTGAGACTTTGCTGAAGTTGCTTATCAGCTTAAGGAGATTTTGGGCTGAGACGATGGGGTTTTCTAGATATACAATCGTGTCATCTGCAAACAGGGACAGTTTGACTTCCTCTTTTCCTAGTTGAATACCCTTTATTTCCTTCTCCTGCCTAATTGCCCTGGCCAGAACTTCCAACACTATGTTGAATAGGAGTGGTGAGAGGGCATCCCTGTCTTGTGCCCGTTTTCAAAGGGAATGCTTCCAGTTTTTGCCCATTCAGTATGATATTGGCTGTGGGTTTGTCATAGATAGCTCTTATTATTTTGAGATACATCCCATCAATACCTAATGTATTGAGAGTTTTTAGCATGAAGGGTTGTTGAATTTTGTCAAAGGCTTTTTCTGCATCTATTGAGATAATCATGTGGTTTTTGTCTTTGGCTCTGTTTATATGCTGGATTACATTTATTGATTTGCGTATATTGAACCAGCCTTGCATCCCAGGGATGAAGCCCACTTGATCATGGTGGATAAGCTTTTTGATGTGCTGCTGGATTCGGTTTGCCAGTATTTTATTGAAGATTTTTGCATCAATATTCATCAAGGATATTGGTCTAAAATTCTCTTTTTTGGTTGTGTCTCTGCCCGGCGTTGCTATCAGGATGATGATGGCCTCATAAAATGAGATAGGGAGGATTCCCTCTTTTTCTATTGATTGGAATTTTTTCAGTAGGAATGGTACCAGTTCCTCCTTGTACCTCTGGTAGAATTCGGCTGTGAATCCATCTGGTCCTGGACTCTTTTTGGTTGGTAAGCTATTGATTATTGCCACAATTTCAGATCCTGTTATTGGTCTATTCAGAGATTCAACTTCTTCCTGGTTAAGTCTTGGGAGAGTGTATATGTCAAGCAATTTATCCATTTCTTCTAGATTTTCTAGTTTATTTGCGTAGAGGTGTTTGTACTATTCTCTGATGGTAGTTTGTATTTCTGTGGGATCGGTGGTGATATCCCCTTTATCATTTTTTATTGCGTCTATTTGATTCTTCTCTCTTTTTGTCTTTATTAGTCTTGCTTGAATCCAGGAGCTGGCTTTTTGAAAGGATCAATAAAATTGATAGACTGCTAGCGAGAAATTTAAAATCTTATTGCTGTACTTCAGGCAATTGTAGAAGAGAAATTACCTATAACCATATTATGAATTTTTGATTTACAATAATTAATTCTAGGAAAAGTAAAATAAGACAGGGAATAAATCATATGTTTTAAAGAAAACACATGTAATTTTATACAATTTATTTCCCTGGCTTTCTTCTCACTACACCTAAGCCTCCAGACCCTAAATATAGTTTGATAGTATGTCTTTTAAAAAGCACTTTTATCTTCCTGTATGCCAATGTAATCCAAAGCAAATTTACACCTGGGGCTAAATGTTTTAGAAGAAAACTAATGTAGTTTGACATGCTTTTAAGAGCAAACTTGTTTCTTTTTAAATGAGAACAATAACTTTTAAAATGAGACTAAGTAGAAATAAAAATTTTATGTTACTTTTAAAATGTTACATGCTACCCATAAAGATATTTCTCAACCTTTTGTAGTTGATTAGCTTGGAAAAAACAATACTTATGAGAAATTTAATTTGAAAATTAATATATAGTGACCCTAATAATGACTTCTCAGTGACCCCAGGGATTTGTATCTAAGTGAGGTCCTTTGCCATTTTTGTCACTAAAGATGAAAAAAATAAACCAACTGCCATTTTTAGGCCATGTCAATCTCATCGATTTTTTCATTTTATTATGAAATAATAGATAACTATAATATATACACAAAATATAAAGATTTTAAAATAAAAACAAATTAATGGAACATTTTATGTAATGTATATATACATACATACACATATACGCTGTATAAAATGTATGTTATTTTAAAAGAAAAATAAAATAACAAGTCTTGAACCTACCCACAATAGAATAAGAAGTAATTTAACATCAATTGCTTGATTATCTTTAATTCATTATTTCCTCCTGGCACTTATATTTGTCTTTAGACCATATTGCTTTGAAATTTAATCTTGCTTCTTCTTTTCACACCTTTGCCAAGGATCAGTTCTGTATATTTTTTCCTTAAGATATTATTAAAACTAAAGAAAGCAATCCCATTGAATTACTTTACACAGAAAAGCATCTCAAAAATCTGTAGTTGCCTTATATAACCTAAGTTGTAAGTATGTTCTAATTAATGCATTTCTTATTGTCAATTTCCTTCAGAAAATATTATATCCTGAATTAATATCTATAGCTCTTGGCTTTTATTTTTTAATCTCATTGATTTGTAACTTACTTTGAAGTATCTGAACTTTGAAGTATTCTCTCTCTCTCTCTATATATATATATATATATATACGTATATATATGTATATACACACATATATACACATATATACACATATATGTATATATACACAGCTACTGGGACTATACTCATGAAGTATATATATATATACACACTTAACTACTGGGACTGTACTCATTAAGTCAAACACTTTTAAATACCTTCACAATTCAAGCATGTAAACAGAATGTACATATTGTCACTTGGTTTATAAAAATGAGCAGTTTCAAAATAAGGTCCTATAGGGAAGTGTGCTCCTTTTAGAAGCAAAACATTCAAATAGTGTGATGGTTGAACAACAATGCCAACCATACAAATGTGCAAAAGGGATTCAACCTTGATTTACACTAAGATAGGAATTAATATTCCTAGAACCTTGCCATTTATGTTGGTAATTTCCTGGAAGTTTTATTTAGATAGTTTTCTGAGTCAGTGTAGTAATAGGGAAACTAATTTCGAATGGTCTTGAACCAATTTCTAGTTTCTAAGGTGTCTCACTAATTAGCTGTGTACTTAGTCTGGGCCTCATTTTTCTCATGTAGAAAATGAGGAGCACTTGGAACATAGCAACTTCTCAGTAAATATTTGCTGAGTACATGAAGTTGTGCATGAGTTGTAATCTCCATGTAGATGTAAAAATCCAGCAGTGAACACATATCACTGCTGTGATAGCATGTAGTATCAGAACACGATATTTTTGTGGCATGGTTCAAACTTTTGCAAAACTTAAAACAGAATGAATAATACTTCATCATAGTACCATATTATACTGCACCAGAGTAGTGCAGTATAATATGCATAATACTGCATAATACTGCACCATAGTAATCACATCTCTGTATATAAAAGCCAACACTTTTATAATGTTTATGTTGTATTAATGTTTTCCTTATATTCATCATAAAACAGATTCATAGGATAATAAAATAAAAACAGTTCTCAAAGACTGTTCCATTATTTAAAAACATTCAGCAGGAGACTGAAGATCACAGAGATAATTTTTTCCAAAATTCTACAGAAAAGCCTCAAAATTTTCTCAAATTTCTGTCAAGTGTCTACATGTATATAAGTGGAAATTATTTCAGTGCAAAAATGTATGTAGGTAAAAAGTCACTGAAGAAAATTACATAGCATAATCAATTACTGAGGAAGAGCACAATAAAAATGAAATTGCAGAAAAGTATATACCTTTATTTTATAATCAAGTAAAATAAATAGACCAGATTATATTAAAAATTAACCAATGTAAAGAACACATGGTTGAAAAGAAAAAATATGTAAATGGCATTTACCATATGAAAATATATTTAACCTTTCCCATAATAAAATAAGTAAATGTTAAAATTACACTGGCATATTATTTCTCTTAAAAGTGGTAAAACCTCAAAATCCCAAAATATGATCTTTTGGCAAAGTAGTGGGGAGCATGTAATTTTACACTGCTGTAGGGAAGATAATGCAGTGTAATCATGATGTAGAGAAAAGGGCAGGAAAATATGAAATTGCATGTACATATTCCCTTAGACTGAACTAAGCCAAATTCAGGAAATCATACCAAATGGGTATTGAGAAAAATATGAAAAGACATAAGCACATGGTTATTCATCATGGCGTTGAATGTAATATGAAAAGCCCACAAATAAGTCTGTATCACAACATTATGTGTACCCCATGCACATATGCACTTATTATGTACCAATAATTAAATTTTTTAATAAAAAATTAAGAGGTCTATTATGTACAGTATATCCACAAAGTGAGGTAAAGAAAAGCTAAACAAATGAGGACATTCTCTATATATTCTTACGCAGTAAGCAAAATATACATTTAATAGATTTTTATTTGAAGAATAAAGGAGGAAGGAAGAAAGGAATAAAGAGAAGGAAGGAAGGAAGCAAGGGAGGGAGGGAGGAAGGAAGGAGGGAGGGAGGAAGGAAGGAGGGAAGGAAGGGAGGGTATTCAGTTATCTTTTTTTAAAAAATGCTGTTTCACTTATGATAATTTGGATGCCAAGTTTTGAAACCCAAGTTGAATGTCTTTAATCTACACAACCGTCTTTTGAAATGTCTGCTATATTTCTCAGTTTTACAAATAAGAAATCCTAGGTTAAGAAAATTAGGTGACATTCCTAAAGTGGTGCAGCTAGAGACAGGGAATGGGTTTGAACCAAGTTTAATATGGTGTTGCTATCATTGGAATCTGTGTGCCCACCCAAATCTCATGTCGAATTGTAATCCCCAATGTTGGAGATGAAGCCTCTTGGGAGGTGATTGAATTATGGGGGTGGTTTCTCATGGTTTAACAGCATCCTCCTTAGTGCTGTCATGGTGATAGAGATTTCTTGTGAGATCTGGTTCTTTAAAAGTGTGGCACCTCCCCACTTTTCTCTTTTGCTCCTGTTCAGGCCACGTAAGATATGTCTGCTTTCACTTTGCCTTCCACCATGATTGCAAGGCAAAGTGGAGGCCTGCCTGAGGCCTCTCTAGAAGTCTCACAGATGTCATCATGCTTCCTGTACAACCTGCAGAACCATGAGACAATTAAACTTCTTTCCTTTATAATACCCATTCTCAGGTATTCTTTATAGCAGTGTAAGAACATGGTGTTAAGCCTGCAGGTGCACAGAGTGCAAGAGTTGAGGCTTGAGAGCTTCTTCCTAGATTTCAGAGAATGTATGGTACAGTCTGGATGTCTAGGCAGAAGCCTAATGCAGGGGTGGATCCCTAATGGAGAACCTCTACTGGTGATGTGCACAGGGGAATTGTGGGGTTGGAGCCTCCGCATAGAGTCCCCACTGGAGCACTACCTAGTAAATCTGTGAGAAGACGGCCACCGTCCTCTGGATCCCAGAATGGTAGATCCACTGAGAGCTTGCACCACGCACTTGAATAAAGATGCAGGAACTCAATCCCAGCCCATGAAAGCAGCTGGGAAGGGGGCTGTACCCTGCAGAGCCATGGGGCAGAGATGCCTAAGGCCTTCTGTGCCCATCTCTTGCCTCATTGTACCCTGGATATGAGACATGGTGTCAAGTAAGAATATTTTGGAGCTTTAGGATTTAATGACTGCTGTGCTGGGTTTTGGAGTTGCATGAGGCCTGTAGCATTTTTGCGTTGGCCAATTTCTCTCTTTTGGAAGGGGAGTATTTACCCAATGTCTGTACCCCCATTGTATGTTGGAAGTAACTAACTTGTTTTTGATTTTACAGGCTCATAGGCAGAAGGGACTCACATTGTCTCAGATGAGACTTTGGATTGTGGACTTCTGCATTAAAGATGGAATGAGTTAAGACTTTGAGGGATGGTTGAGAAGGGAAGATTGTATTTTTAAAATGTGAGAACATGAGATTTGGAAGGGTACAGAGACTGAATAATATGGTTTGGCTCTGTGTCCTCACCCAAATCTCTTGTCAAATTATAACCCCCAATAATAGAGGTAGGGCCAGGTGGAAGGTGATTGGGTCATAGCGTGGGTTCTCATGGTTTAACAGCATTCCCCTGGGTACCACTGTGGTAATGATGATTTCTTGTGAGGTCTGGTTGTTTGAAAGTGTGTGGCACCTTCCCCATTTTCTTTTTTGCTCCTGATCCAGCCATGTAAGATGTGTCTGCTTTCCCTTCACCTTCTGCTATGATTGTAAGTTCCCTGCGGCCTCCAGAGAAGCCAAGCTGGTGACACCATGCTTTCTGTACAGTCTATGAAACCAAGAGCCAATTAAACATCTTTTTTAATAAATTGCTCAATCTCAGGTATTTCTTTATAGCAGTCCAAGAACGAACTAATACATATGTCAGAAACTGTTCTTTTATCTATTGTGTGAACAGAAAAAGTTGCCTTCTAACCTTGGATCACTCTGTGGGGTAAAGGTCTGTATTTAAATCTGGAGGGCCAGCAAGGAGAAAGAATTAGATTATTTTGAGTTAAATAAAAATTTATACACATTCCATTATTTGATTTTCAATTTGCCATGATGATTTGGTTATTGCATGATATCTAATTGCTCTCAGTGCCAAACTTCACACAACAAATGGAAGGAGCATATGGACATATTTAATGACACTTTTGAAAAGCTCAAATAGACAGAGTAAAAATCCAATATTACTACTTATAACCCTCTACAGTTAAACCTGTTTCCCCTAATTATTTCAGGATCACTGAATTGCATAAATGATAGTATAATGAAAACAGAAAGATAAATGTTATATATTTATTTTCATCATTATGATCATGTACACTAAAGATCTTTTTATTGTAGGAAATAAATGAAACAATTATCCATAGAAAAACCACTGAACAGAATTAATGCAAAAAATAGATGAACCTATTATCATATTGACTGTAAAAGCTAAATAAATTATTTTTTGTGCTGTTACACATCTCTCTAGAAGGCACTGTTTTGTTTTTTGTTTGTCTTTCTTTTTACCAATTTGCTGCCTGTTGGAGAAACAGTTGTCTGAATCCATAGGTTGAGACACAGAGAAAACAACAGCATCTTCTAATTGTGCAAATTATAGGTAAATGATCTCACTGAACTACATTGACCAACCTGAGAATCTAGCATAGAGAGGCTATTAAAGGTAGTGGCATGGAACTCAGACCACATTTTATGAATTTAGTCCTTGAAAGAGTCTTTGTGCTGCAATATCTTCAGGACAGAAGAAAACACACGTGTATTTGTGTGTGTGTGTGTGTGTATGCCTGTGTGTGTATGCGTGTGTGTGTGTGTGAGAGAGAAAAAGGTAGCGGCATGGAAATCAGGCAACATTTTATGAATTTAGTCCTTGAAAGAGTCTCTGAGCTGCAATGTCTTCAGATAGAAGAAAACGTGTGTGTGTGCGTGTGTGTATAAATATGTCCATGTGTGCATGTGTGAGTATGTGTGTGTGTGTGTGAGAGAGAGAGAGAGAAAGAAAATATATATTATTTATACAGTGTGTGTGAGAGAGAGGACTTAGCTAAATATTCAAAAATTGGCAACCTTCTCTTCTTCTAGCTAGAGTCACTTCACTATTCATTGTTTGTGAAGAATAAACTTTCCTCATTAGGAATGCCAGTTTGACAAACACTGTAATAGTGAGAAAACACCTAAGACTAAAGAATGAAACTAGGGTAGGCTGGCCATTAAGCATACCTCAAAACACTACACTTTTATTTATAGTAAGCATCTTTAGTGTACATTATTATTAAAAATTATTTTACATAAGGGGGTTCAGTTGATTTTAATTTTATTTGTAAGCATGTGATTTACTACCAAAGCATAATGTATTTATCCTATTACTGGGTGAAAAAATTTACTGAAGTTTGAGAGTATCTAAAGTGGCAAATAGAAATTAACTAAGCATCCAGGGTATGAGATTCCTTATAAAACAAGTGGACTTGCTGTACATTGTTCATACAGTCTTTAAAACCACCTGAAAATTTCTTTATCATTTTCTTTTTTTTTTTTTTTTTTGAGACGGAGTCTCGCTCTGTCGCCCAGGCTGGAGTGCAGTGGCGCGATCTCGGCTCACTGCAAGCTCCGCCTCCCAGGTTCACGCCATTCTCCTGCCTCAGCCTCCCGAGTAGCTGGGACTACAGGCGCCCGCTACCACGCCCGGCTAATTTTTTTGTATTTTTAGTAGAGACGGGGTTTCACCGTGTTAGCCAGGATGGTCTCGATCTCCTGACCTCGTGATCCGCCCGCCTCGGCCTCCCAAAGTGCTGGGATTACAGGCGTGAGCCACCGCGCCCGGCCTCTTTATCATTTTCTATCAAAACAAAATAAAAATACTCATCTTAGAGAAAACATCAAAAGCTATGTCTGATTTCTTAAAATTATATCAGTAATTCTAAATATCTCTAAGCTTTCTAAAATTCATTACAGTGTCAAATATGATAAAAACCCTTCTTGATGCCAGTGAGAGATGACATCACGAAAATATTTTAATTTACATGAGACAGCTTGTTAAATCGATATTAACAAAACTAATCTTCCTAAATAAAGACCTAATGACATATAGTAAGCACAGTAATAATAACAGAAAGATTTTATTTAATTTCTTTATAAAATTTGTAGAATAGAATTCCATCTGTAATTAATAATATCATTTTATTCAATTGCACTAATCAAGCTACAGTTTAATATGGAACAAATTTAATTATGCCACAAGCACCCCCTAAAGCTTTAGCAGATTGCCTAGGAATGTAAAATAGTGCAATGAAAATTCTTTTTAAAAATATTTCAATTATATTTCAATGAGAAAAGATTGCTTTTTACTAATGACATTTAATATATACATATACCCTTTCCATAGCTTTCTGGGATTCTTTAAACATCTGTTACAGGATTTATCACTGGACATATCTCCAAAATCAAAGACATTCTGAAATTATGAAAATGCATTATACTGATAGCATTCATGTTTGAAGAAATACTTACTTCATAATTAAACCTAATCTATCAACCATTCCTATCAAATTAGTCCTAATCATTTAAAAATTCAGCATTTCACAACTAAATGAATATCACAAATCTGTAGGAGTATTTATGCAATGGTATTTTTATCATCTTATGTTGATGACCCAGGTTTTCATACTTAGAAAACATCAGCATGTAAATGACATTTAAACAATGAAAGGGATGAGATTGCTTCAGAGACATAGTAAATACATCAGAGAATATGGCCCAGGAAAGATTCTGGAGACATTCCACAACGTAAAGCATCTTAAACATGCTTTAGCTATAGGTGAATGGCTCTGAAACAACAATAGCAATAACAAAAACTGTTTTTTTGTGCCTTCTCTTTACTCTTCTCATTTTTCCCTCCTAGTTCCTTCTCTAAATCTATAAAAATACCTTGTACTTACGACCATATTAGGATACATATATAGTCTAAATACATGGGAAATAGGTCTATTGAAACTTTCTCTGTATATAGAGCTAGCCAGAGTGAATAGAAACAGCAAAAAATTTGAAATGCTTGGGAAAATAGTCTTTGTATGTTGCATGAATCAGAACAATTCTCCTTTCTACTTGCTTCATTAACTTGAATTAATGAGGAAGATAAGTTAACTGCATATTTCATAGTTTTAACTCATTAGTTAGATAAAGTGTGTCACTTTTTCTATCCCTGTTTGCTAGAGTTACATGGCAACCCAGGAGTAGTATGAGGATGATTTTGGAACTGCAGGCACTGGTCTAGTCATAGGCGATAATGTTTCTTATGCATATTGCAGCACGTGTTCAATTAGTCAGTTTCACAGCCAAAAAAGAAAGTATAGAATGGGAAAAGAGAAAGTTGTGCTCTCCTAGGACCCAGAGTGAAGTGGCCAAGAGTAAAAACAGTCTAGGGAAACTTTGCAATTTCCCATAAGAAGGATCAAATCCACACAGAGAAAAAAGCAGGAGAGAGAATTCTTACTAGAATTAAAGGAGAATGGCAAAAAGAAGTCATAATAATTATGTTAATATAATAACTGGAAAGAAAAGTCTTCCAGAAGACTTGAGAGAGAAGACTTGAGAGTGGACAATAAGAAAGCCTGTCCTTATCAATATTTATACAATATATAAATTAAAAGATATAGGAAATTTTTTCACTCTAGGCCATTGGCATAATGCCAAAGTAAAAAAGCAAAACATGTTTTTTAGGATGGAATATGATGAATTTCAAAAATTCAAATGTCTGATAGTACAATTTAAAACATTAAATATATACACAAAAATTAGTAATACTTTATCTAAATTACCGATTTTCTTTTTACCATTTCCATTATTGTATCATCTTAATTTATTTTCTGTTGCAATCATTTATCACTTTTTATTATAAATGAATAATCAGAACTTCTCTTACATTATGAAAGCAAAGACAAATTATGCAAAAGACTCTTATGATATTCTGGCAGCTTTTGTGACAGATTAATCTTTTTACACTTTATCTGCCCAGTTATGTGTACAGTCACATGCAAAGCTGTAACAATGAGGGATTGAATAAATTTAATTATCTTCTAAGACTCATAGACTCAAAAAAGTAAGAAAAACATGATTAAGTAGCAAATAATATTGGTACCATGATTATCTGTATTCTAGACATATCTCAAATGTATAATGTAATATTTAGAAAAATGCATTTGACAAAATACTTTCCTCTTCAATTGAATTGGCTGTTTTAACAGGCACTGTTCATCAGTTGGAATGGACTGTTCTGGCATATGCCTCCAAGTTGGCCATTTCCACTGTGACTCCGCACACAAGTGGTCAGTTGTAATTGAGGGCATTGGGAGCTGTCCTTTAGGATAGTAATATGAGTGTTAAGAAATTCAAACTTTACTACCCCTAACTTTCTCCCATTTTTTTTCTCTCTCCTTTTTTTAACAATAATATGTAAACCCTGTAAACGTCTTCAGAAATCACCTAACTTCTCAACCTGTGCATGTTGACATAGGCATATCATGTATATGCCTAAACAAGTTATGTAGAGATGAGATCAGAAAAGTTCAGTTACTTTTTTGATCTCAAGAAAAGATCAAAGGTCTTATAGAATTACCCGAGATCCTATAGAATGTTGTATTCCATAGAACATTGTAGTCCATAGAAGGATTTAAATATTATTATATTAATATTTCAAGCAGGACAATGCTACAGGAGTGCCTGGAAAAAGAAATTACATAATCTATCCTATATTTTAAAAGGTCACTCTGGCTGCTATGTGAGGGAAAGAATACAGAGAGATAATAGTGGAAAACAATTTTGTAAGCAATTGAAGTAGTATAGGTTTGAAGGGATGATACCTTAGAATAGGGTGATATTAGTGTAAACAGTAAAAAGTAAAAAAATAAAAATAAAAAATATTAAAAACATACAGTATGTAACATGTGTATAATATATATAACTATAAAATGAAAAATGTCAAAATCAATACATATAGAATCAAAATATGCTGCAACTACCTAACAGACCCAGTATAGTGACCAGTCTGATCATCTCCCTGCTTTTGAATCACCTATTGCATTGACATATAGTGATTACAGCCCAATCTTTAAAGAAGATAAGAAAGTCAAAATATAAATACGTTTCTATTTTATCAGATAAAAATTTGTAGTGGAATTTCTTTTCCATTTTTCTTTTAGAGGCTCAGATATTAGAACTCCCATTTCTAATTTTATTACTTATAATTTATGTGCTAATATATCGAGCATCTATTTCTTCACCAGCTTCATAGATCTTAAATTATTTATAGAGTAAAAAATTATTTGACAGTTAAGACTTAAAATATCTAGCAATCACATTTTTTGCTCTCTGAAATAAAAAAGAAAAGCACAATTATAGTGAATATTTTCTTTTAAATAATTCATTAAATGCTTTTCAATTTATAGAAATAATGTACTATTAAAGATAGTATCTTCCTTTCTTGATTAAGAGCTCCTTGAGGGCAGGAAGCTATGCCACTAATGTCAGACAATGTCAAATGTTGAAGCAAAATAGTTAAAATTCAAAGAAATGAAAAGACATTTTAGATCAATTTCTCTGCAAAGAAAACTCTGAGATGAGGATTTACGTACAGGAAGATAATTGAAGAGCACTCATATAATCAACATTTTCAGAGATTAAAGTTGAACTATAATGCCTTCTCAAAAAATGCTTTGGTCAATCCTACCAAGAGCTCTGGAATTGAGATGGACCCTTCTAAATTGTTTCTCATTTGGTCAAGAGATTTGGGTCTTTGGGGCAGGGAGCTGGGCCTAGTCAATCACCCCACATTGACTAGGCACGAGATTCAGGTTGCCCCTTTGAAAGCATAATGACCTTGGGAGAAACAACTTTCTACATATAAAAGCAAGTCCAAGAAAGGGATGCAGCTGGGAGCTGTGGACCACCAACATCCCCAGGATAATGAGTGCTTCAACCCACTAAGAGGGTATGTGGGTTGCTCACCACGACATGCCCATCCCTTAAGTCACTCAGATGTATGTGATTCATTGACATTATGGAGATTGCTTCTTCAGGATTATATTGGGCCTTGTTTCCAGGCAGAAAGTTTTAAGTGATAGATTAATATGATAACCTATAGCCCTTGACTCTGTAACTTTCTTCGATGGCATAACCAAATATCATCACCAGCACTTCTCTCATTCATTCTAGATTCTCCATATAATTGATTATTGTATATGCTCATTAGGCAGAGGACTTCATCCTTTCTGGAGTTGAAGTTACTGCATTTTTCATTTACAGTCAAAATTGAACAAAGGAATATCAAGTAATAGCAAAATAAATGGCCTAGTTTTCCAATTTATTCTTTCATACCCTCCCTATTAGGTAACAAAGCCTTACCTCCTCCCAATGAGCAGAGCCAATTCACTCTGACAGGATTTAACTCTTTTTCTATCTGTTGATCTCTAAGCATGCAGAGAACAATGTGACTGGGATGTTATCATATCTAGAAGTTTAATGGGGATTTTTCTGTGTTATCAAATAAAAACATTTCTCCTCTAGGGAATAGAACCATTAACTACTAAGAGCCCAGAGGTGAAGAGATGAAGGACATATTTTCTAAGTAGATAACCGGAAATCAAGATAAACAGGGTCACTGCTAATTTCACTTCTTTGTTCTCAGACTAATTTTATTTACCAAATGAAGACACTTTATTATATGATGGTGATTGAAATGGTAATTGATCTATGGTATCTGTGGGGTTTTTTCTCCTCAAGCTAACATTTCAACTGTACCTTCAACAGGTTATGCCTTTACTCTATCAAACTTGCAGCTTCTGTGTAGTATGATACAGTGGATGGTGCAATGGATGGCACAGTTAATGATAACTGCCACCTCTTTGCTGTCACATTTGTCCCTTCGTCTTATATAATGTCAGTAGATCAAATACTCCCTAAGTTTCTGTATATCTACCTCAGAAATTTCAATCAGGAAAGGCAACTCCATATCAAAATATGTGTTTATCCAGTAATGATAAAATATCTCCTGAGACCTCTTTCCTTTGCATGCAAATTGCTACCTTCTTGCTGTTTGCTCACATGACCTTTTTTTCTGTGCCCATACATCCCTGGTGTCTCTTTCTCTTACTATAAGGACACCAGTCATATTGGATTAGGGCACCACCAAAGCAGCCTCATTTTAACTTAATCACTCTTTAAGGATCTTACTTTCAAATACAGTTATATTCTGAGGTGGCATGGATTTGTACTTTAATGTATGAATTTTAGAGGAATATAATTTAGTTCATAGCACCATTGTTTAGTGTGGAAGGCCACATTTCCTTCCACACTAATTAGATGAACAGGTATAAAACAAGCCTGTCTACCACTTTTCCTCACTGCTCTCTTTTGGGTCACCATTAAATTGTGCCATAGCACAGCAATCAGTCACTTTAAGCTTGCACCCACATATTGAACTGATACTTTGAATCAAACTTATACTTCTTCCTCTTTTATCAGCTGGTATTCCACTGGCCATAGGTGTGAGCTGAAGAAGAGGCTATGATAAAACACTTGAAGATGACATGAGAATGTGGCTATCTGTTCAAACAGCTTGAATTTACCCTCTAGCCCTGCTTTATCTTGATACCAGATTTTGATCTAATTTATGATGGATTGCTGTTGGGTCCACCCAACTTATATTTTGATGGGTCTGACACCATCTGATTTGTGATGGGTAGCAACAGCTACATAATCACTTGATGTTCCATGTCCAGAGAAACATTCCTAACTAATTTTTCAGATATTTACCTGTCATTTTGCTCTTAGATAATGTAATTTTATGTTTTCTTGTATTCGTTATGCTTGTCACTATTCCTTTAAAAACATTCCATCAATTGAAACAGGCCTAGTTCTGTGAAGTTAATTCATCTTTTAAACATGCTACAAGAAGCCAGGAATTTATTTTGCTTTAATCTAGAAAGAGTTTATAACATTATTCATGTTACTTTAAAAATAAAAGTAATAATATGATTTTCATCTTTTATAATTTTGACTTTTATTTTTGGTACGGGGGCACATGTACAGGTTTGTTACATGGGTATATAACGTGATGCTGAGGTTTGGGGTATGAAAAGTTACTCTCTAAGTTGATGAGTCTACATATGTCATGACTTTGTTTTATGACTGATTACTTGTTATAGTATGGGAAAATGACAAGGATCCACTTAAATTATTAAGTTACAAGAGAACTGACTATTGGCATGAATGCAAAGCTGAATCAACCTCAGGTTGATTCATTAGACTAAGAAGTTAAAAATCTTGATATAAGGAAATAAATGAAACAGCTGCTTGGTGTTGACTTATGACTTTGTTGTAAATAGCTGAAGAGATGTTGTTGTCTTGGGATATTAGTATTTCATCTTTAACCGGAAATATCAATGCATTTATCCGTTGGAACAAGTTCACAGCCATGGAATTTAAAATCTAGAGTACCACCTGTGAATACATATATTCCCAATGAGGAGCATGTATCCTACCTAAGACTTTTATCATTTGAATGTATTTACCTGATTATACTGCATCAGGGCCTGCCTTAAGCAGGGTAATGACAGTTCAGATTGGCTGAGTAATGGAGGAGGCTGGATAAAAATTGCCAACAACAACAAGATCGGATTGAATTCAGTTAACAAGAAAAAAGTCTTAAAATAAAATAAAGTGTGCTTCATACTTGAACGAAATTCATCTCTACTCTTTCAGAAAAGAGTAATTTGTCACTGAGAATGAAGAAATGCTCATCTCGACCAGTAGTAGATGCTCCCTGAATGCTCATAACCAATTGGTGGTGTCTGCCTACTGTCTAGCCAAGTTTCCTGGTAACTTTAAAAGGTTAATATCTTATTGAAAACAATAGCAAAGACAACACTTAGCATAAATCAGCTAAATTATAATTTAGGAAAATAAAATAAAAACAAAATAAAGGAAAAGATATGTAGTAGATTTGGAGAGATATGTTCCCAGTTACAGAAACTTTATTTCAAAACCATTTAATTTTTTTAATTTGCATTTTTCTGATGATTAGTTATGTTAAACATTTTTTTCATATAACTTTTGGTCATTTGTATGTATTTTTCTTCAATTTTATATTTTTTAGGATTTTTTAATTGTTACATAATAGATGTACATATTTATGGGGTACATGTATTTTTTGGTACATGCATAAATTGTGTAGTGATCAAATCAGAATAATTGGGATATCCATCACCTCAAACAGTTATAATTTCTTTGGGTTGGGAATTTCCATATCTTCTTTTTTAGTTATTTTTAAATATACTATAAATTCTTGTAAACTATAGTTGCCCTACTCAGCTTTTAATCATTAGAATTTATTACTTCTATTTAACTGTATTTTTGTACACATAAACCATTTTATCTTCATGTCCCCCCAATCTTCCCAGCCCCTTTTAACCACTATTCTGCTCACTATCTTCTTGAGATCAAATTTGTTAAGCTCCCACATATATGTGAAAAAATGTAATATTTGTCTGTCTGTGCCTGGCTTATTTCGTGCAACATAATGACTTCCAGCTCTATCCATGTTGGTGCAAATGACAGGATTTCACTCTTTTTCATGCTTGAATAATATTCTATTGTGTATTTTTTTTAATCCATTCATCCATTGATGGACACTTAAGCTGATTCCATATCTTGGATACTGTGAATAGTGCTGCAATAAACAAAACATTTAACTATTTGACAAAATATTAACAATCAGAATATATAAGGAACTCAAACAACTCAATAGGACAAAAAAATCTAATTTAAAAATAGGCAAAAGATGTGAACAGACATTTTTCAACAGAAGACATATGAATGTGTAACAGGTATATGAAAAAATGCTCAACGTAACTAATCAGGAAGATACAAATTGAAATCACAATGAGATATCACTTCACCCCAGTTAAAATGGCTACTATAAAAATGACAGAAAATAAATGCTGGCAAATATGTGGAGAAAGGGGAACACTCATACAATCTTGGTGGGGATGTAAATTAGTGCAAAAGTATTTCGTTTAAAATTTAGGATCAAATTAATGCCATTTAAAATTATATACTTTCATAACTATAAAAATATAATTACTGCTTGCTCTCACATTGCAATATTCTTTTGAAAATCAGTAGCTGCAAAGGAACGTGATTTTCACCATTTACCCTTATCTAAGTCTAGATTTCTCCTAAGCTAGTCAAGAAATAATTTTAAAAGAGCTGAATCCTTGTGGATACATGAAAGAAAGGCCAGTTATACTGAAAAAGAGATTTGGAAATCTATGAGCAGAAGCTGACAATGACACTTTCACAGATAATGAAAGAAAAAGACAAAGAAAATGTCTTCAGAGGAAGGAAACTGTTCTTGGTTTAGTTTTCATCATATTGTCCATAATACTTCTGGAAATATGCAGTATTTAACATGAAAATTCAACTAATTGGTATATGCAGTTAAGGAGAGCATTATTGGTATATGCAATTAAGGAGAGCAAGAAAAATTTAAAAACATATGACCTTCAGTTTCACTTTCCTGATGGACACAGTAGTTAATATTATATTTCTCATATTTTAATACATATCATTTAAATGTGTTCTTTTTATTTATAGTTGAATACTTTTCTGACAGTATACATCTACTGTGCATTCAAAGATTTCATACCTTTAGAGGGCCTCATTATTTAAAATAATCTCTTAATTATGTTTTGTATATGAGACATGCATCCAACAAGATTTATCTTTGTAACTGTTTTATAACATTTTACAAAATAATAAGAAAGTGCTTAAAATGGCTAATAATTATCTTAGTTACTATTTGATAGACAAAAGGCCATATTGACAGGAATAAATTGATCTGGGTAACAGCCACATATGAAAGCTAAAAATATTTGCTAATCAGTTCAAACAAAGGTGTCTGAATTCAGCAGGTAGATTGCAGTCTTCATGTATAATGAAAGGAAGTGGAAGTTTTCAAAGATAGTAACATGAAAGTTAACTAACAATGGAAAACTTCAAGCTATGTTCTTGTGGAAGAATATGAAAGTTTAGAAAAAGAAAAATTCAAAAGTAATAAACTAAATAGCACCTAGTACAGCTACCCATAAGCAAAACTTTCTAATATAAAAGTGTATTAAATTATACTCAGGTATTTTAAAAATATTTATTGCAGGAAACAAGAAAATTAAAATTTATTATATATTTTCATTTTTAAGAATGTATTTTGATGGATTAAATCTGAAACAAAAAGTGGCCTAAAAGAGTTAATTTAGAAATTATGAACAGTTATTTACAGTGACATAGAAGGTGTTTAAACATCATTGTAAAGAGTAAAGACTAGAATATATTTTGCAAAAAAAAAAGTAGCTTTCATGAAGCTTGAAATCTATAAAACAATGAAGAAAGTAAAAAATATCTTAAAGAGATGAAAACACATTGTATTTGAATCAACAATAAAACACACCAAATACAGTGTACCAAATGAGGAACAGAGGAAAGACAATACATTTCTAAAGATAGAAAGAGAAATCCAGCCCCATCAAAAAGTGGGCGAAGGACATGAACAGACACTTCTCAAAAGAAGACATTTATGCAGCCAAAAAACACATGAAAAAATGCTCATCATCACTGGCCATCAGAGAAATGCAAATCAAAACCACAATGAGATACCATCTCACACCAGTTAGAATGGCAATCATTCAAAAGTCAGGAAACAACAGGTGCTGGAGAGGATGTGGAGAAATAGGAACACTTTTACACTGTTGGTGGGACTGTAAACTAGTTCAACCATTGTGGAAGTCAGTGTGGCGATTCCTCAGGGATCTAGAACTGAAAATACCATTTGACCCAGCCATCCCATTACTAGGTATATACCCAAAGGACTATAAATCATGCTGCTATAAAGACACATGCACACGTATGTTTATTGCGGCATTATTCACAATAGCAAAGACTTGGAACCAACCCAAATGTCCAACAATGATAGACTGGATTAAGAAAATGTGGCACATATACACCGTGGAATACTATGCAGCCATAAAAAATGATGAGTTCATGTCCTTTGTAGGGACATGGATGAAATTGGAAATCATTCTCAGTAAACTATCACAAGAACAAAAAACCAAACACTGCATATTCTCACTCATATGTGGGAATTGAACAATGAGATCACATGGACACAGGAAGGGGAATATCACACTCTGGGGACTCTTGTGGGGTGGGGGGATGGGGGAGGGATAGCATTGGGAGATATACCTAATGCTAGATGACGAGTTAGTGGGTGCAGCGCACCAGTATGTCACATGTATACATATGTAACTAACCTGCACAATGTGCACATGTACCCTAAAACTTAAAAGTATAATAATAATAAAAAAATTAAATAAAAGAAAAAAAAAAAGAAAGAGAAATCCAGAGCATGAATAATTGACAGTCTTAAAAAAAGGCATAACATGATGAACAAAAGTAATATTAAATATTATTATTATAAAGAAATTGGAGGACAATCAAAAAAGTAATATACAGAAAAACATCTGACTCATATATTATATTTCAAATTTAAACTTAATTAACAAATAATTGGTAAAAAACCCAGCAAACATAAGGATAAAATAATTCAACCTGGTATTGTACTGTGGTTTCACAAATTGAGATACAAGAAGCTAGTGAATTTGTGGAGTTTTAACTTGGAAATTCTGTGCTTATCCACATTATTTTGTTCATTTATATGGAACCCAGAAATAGCTTTTTCAGATATTTAAATAAACATAAAACTTTCATACAAACAGACGCATATGACATATATTTTTTCTTTAAAGTGTTGAACATATATACTGGTAAACATAAATTGGTTGGATCATATCTACATACTAACAACTATATACATAAAACAATAAAATATTGTAATTCTTTAAAAATACGAGATCAACATAAAAACTATCAATTTCAATCTAAAATATGTATCAGCAATTTCAATTAAATAGCCATAATAACTGAAATTTTAAAAACCAGAAACATCTCAATAGAATTACTGAATAGCAGAAAACATTCTCATCAATGTATTAGATGTGAATAAGAGTGTTGAATAGAAGTGTTGAGAGTTGGCATTCTTCTTTTGTTTCTGATCTTATAGGAAAATATTTCAGTTTTTCACTGTTTGGTATGATGTTTATGGTGGATTTGTAATATATATGGCCTTTATCATGCTTTGGTACATTTCCTCTGTATCTAGTTTGTTGAGCATTTTTATCATGGTGTTGAGTTTTGGCAAATGCTGTTTCTCCATTTGACAGATGATCATGTAATATTTGAGGTGACCATGTGATTTTTATTCTTCATTCCGTTAATGTGGTATGTCACATTTAGTTACTTGTGTGTGTAGAAGCCTTCTCGTATCCAAGGGATAAATTCTCCTTCGTCCTAGAGCATGATTTTATAAATGTTCTGTTCAATTGACATTGCCAATAAAATAAATCCAAATCAGAATGGAAGAGGTAAAACAATCTCTGTTTGCAGATGACATGATCCTATATACGGAAAACTTTAATGTTTCCACACACAAAGCCTTAAAATACACCAATCCTGTAAAATTAATATACAAAAATTAGTCATGTTTCTGTAATCTAACAATAAATTATCTGAAAAAAGTTAAGGTAACATCCATTTCCAATAGCATAAAAATGAATAAAATAGGAATAATTTAACCAAAGAGGTGAAGATTAGACCTTGATAACTATAAAAGAGATGAAATAAAGGAGACACTATAAATGGAAAGATATCCTGTGTTCATGGATTAGAAGACTTAATGTTCTTAAAATGTCCATATTACTCAAAGTCATCTAAAGATTCAATGTTATTCCATCAAAATCCCAATGACCTTTTTTAACAGAAATAGAAAAAAAAAATCCTAAAATTTATATGAAACCACAAAACATTCAGAATGGCCAATGCAACCCCAAGAAAGATAAACAAAGTTGGAGGCAACACACTTTGCTATTTCAAAATATGTTACAAAGCTACATTAATTAAAACATTATGGCACTGGCATAAAGACAAACATAAATAAATGGAACAACATAAAGAACCCAGAAATAATTCATTCATATACAGTCAACTGATCTTTGACAAGGGTGCCAAGAATAAATAATGATAAAGGAATAGGCTATTCAACAAAGGCTAGGACAACTACATATCTACATGAGAAAGAATAAAATTGGACTCTTTACCTTACATTATATAAAAAGATCAACTCAAAATAGATAAAAACTTGAATTTAAGACTTAACAACTATAAAACTCCTAGAGGAAAACTGTAAAAAGCTTCATGACATTGGTCTTGGCAATAATAATTTCTGGGATTTGATACTGAAGGCATAAGCAGCAAAAACAAAAATACACAAGTGAGACTAGAACAAACTGAAAAGCTTCCGCACAGAAACAGAAAGCTGCCACACAGAACAAATGAAAGGTAATCTACTGAATAGCAGAAAATATTTGCAAACCATATATCCAAAAAAGAGTTAACATCCAAAATATATAAGCAACTCCTACAACTCAAAGCAAAATATTAAATAACCTAAATAGAAATATGTAAAGACCTTGAAGAAATATTTCTTTGAAGAAGACATACAAATGGCCAGCAGATATGTGTAAACATATTGAATATTGTTAATGATCAGGGAACTTGCAAATCAAAACTATAAGAAGATAACACCTTACACCTATTAGTACAGTCATTGTAATATCAAAAACCTTAAATGTTTCCAAAAATGTGGAGAAATTGGGACACATACACTGTTAGTGGAAAAGTACCTTAGAAGATTGTACAGCAGCTATGGAAAGGAATATAGCTGTTTATCAGAAAAATAAAAATAAAACAACCATGATACAACAATCTCACTGTTGGGTGTATATCTAAAACCACTGAACTCAGGATCTTGAAGAGTTATCTGCACTCTCATGTTCATTGCAACATTACTCACAATTGCCAAGATATAATATGGAAACAAGCCAAATGCCATCAGTAGATGAATGGATAAAGATAATGTGTCACATGCATACAATCGAATATCAATCGCTCCTTAAAAAGAAGGAATCCTAACATTTGAGACAATGTGGAAGAATATGGATGACAGTATGCTAAGTAAAATAAGGCAATTACAGAAGGGCAAACTGCATGATCTCATTTATATAAGGTATTTTAAATAGTCAAACTTATAACAGCAAAAAATATAATACTGGTTGTCAAAGGCTGGGGATTGGGGAAAATGCAGAGTTGTTCTTGGAAGTTGTGATCTATGGGTATAAAGTTTTAGTTATGTTAGATGAATATGTTCTAGAGATCTGCAGTACAACATAGTACCTATAGTTAATAAGATGGTTTTGTGCACTTCAAAATTGTTGAGTAGATCTCTTGTTAAGTTTTCTTAACACACATAAAACCTCAAACAAAACACCCACAAACCCAATAATAATAAATAAAAAGGAGCACAGGTAAACTTCAGGAGTTGTTGAATGTGTCTGTTTATTACTTTGATTGTGGTGATGCTATCATGGCATTTGCATATATCTAAACTCACCAAACTGTGCATATTAAATATGTGAAATTTTTAAATATCTATTACACCTCAATAAAGCTGTTTAAGGATAAGATTCTGTTACAATAAAAATAGTGAAATGAGCTATGTCCAATAATTTCCCCAAAAGCCAGAGCAAAGAACAAAAAAAATGACCAGAAGCATTATGCATTAATGATTAAGAACATAACCTCTACCGTTTACTAACTTAGTGATCTTGGATTAGTCACTTAACCTTTTTGTGTCTCTGCATTCTCATCTCTAAGAGAGAGATAATTATTCTACTACTTTATCAGGTTTTTTTAGTGTAAGTATAAGGTTTTTTACTAAAAATAAACAGAAAATATCTTAGTAGTCATAAGAATCCAGAAACTATTATCAATTAATTATAAAATAAAGCATAAAAATCTGGACTTTAGAATAAAATAAATGGAATTTAAAATCACGTAAATTACATTTTAATAATTAATATATCAAATAGAGGAATTAGATCACTTATCAAACGAAAAATAAAAATTCTCCGAAGACCATTTTTCCAGGATCAAGAAAAATTAACTACAATTATAATAATAAACCCCCAAAGCATCAGAACTTTAAACCTTCAGTTTGGAAAGGCTTATTGACTGCCAAATCATAATATTGTTTTAAAAATCTATATATTCCTTAGGAAAGTAAGTCATGACACATACATACAATGGAATAATGAACAGCATGACACAAGTCTGAGTGATTTGAGGGAAGAAATATTCATAATTTGCTTTTCAGAGAGGAAAAGTGAAACAATGTTAACTTCGGTATAAATATACTCACATAGAAATAAATGTGTGTGATATTTGAATAAGTAGACTAAAAGAAAAAAATTGAAAACATTTCTTTTAAAAGCAAGTCTTCTTGCATACTACATTAGGTAGAAAAGAGATATGAGAAATATTATCAATCTGCTACACCAAGGAAAACATCTTTAGTTTAGATTATTATCTTTAATAATAAGAATGACTTTCTCACACTAAACAAATAATTTTGAAGCTGCATTTAAAACTTTATCTCCTTGATAGTTATGTTTACAGTAAGAAATTATATTTAAAGGAAGGCATTTAAAGGAATGTTCTCTAAGAAATTATCTGTGTTGGAAGATAAACAGATTGCATCCTGTAACTTGTTTGTTTATTTCCAGATATGAGTCCTTGAAGCAAAGGCAAAGGAATAACACCAGGAGAGCAAATACTGCTAGGAGGGAATTGAAAATAAAGGAAGTCACATACCCGATATCAGAGAGATATTTGGGAGGCTCTGCTGGTTGGATAAGGAGATAGTCAGAGAAACCAGAAGGTCTGTGCAATGAAGGTGTACTTATCTCAGTGTTTCAATAAAATGGATTAAAGCATGCGAACATATACACACAAGTCAGTAAGTTGTGTTTCAATGTACAAAACATATACCTTCAGAGGTAAAATGCAGCGGTTTAAACAAATGGCACACATACACAATAGCTCTGCCTAAGGCCTCTGCATTTCCAACTCAGTGAGGGTTGCCAGAGGCAACTTCATGTGCAATGAACTTATCTAGCTTTAAAAATGAGAATTCAGGTTAAAGACTTTTATTTTATTACCATGACAGAGTACCATGAGGTAAATGCAAAGGTTCTGGCAAAAGAAAAAGTGTGCCTGTATTAAGTCTAAAATGTCCACTCTTTTCATGCTAACATTGTTAAAGATGTTAAATAAGATTTCATATCTTCTAATATTTTCAAATAGTAAAATTTCATTTATATATATATTGTTGTGGAATATATAACACTTTTTCTCCAATTTTGGCATTTCTATCATCTCTCTTTCAAAAAATATTAAATCTCATAGTAGTTATTTCCTGCATTACAGGCTTGAGCTATAAACTTTAAAATCTGATGAAAATGATGAATCGTTTCTCCATAAAAAATGTGCATTCATGCATGGAAAAAGATGCAAACAATTTCAGGCCATTTGTGGACCCCTTGAGGGCAAAGTTTAAAATCTATGATCCAGAGAAGATATATGTAAGCAGGCCTTTGCTATTTCCAGAATCAAAATCACCTCCACTACAGCAGAGGAGACTGGCTTAGGGTTAACGATTGAGTGAACAGTAAATAGTGCATGCACAGCTTCTTGAGTGCAAGAAGATCATCAAACAGGAGTGAATTTGCATGAATGATGGATGGGTATATTTTTTCTCTTTGGTTTATGTTAGCTGAAAAGGTAGGCTACAGTAACCAAAACAGCATGGTACTGGTACCAAAACAGAGATATAGATCAATGGAACAGAACAGAGCCCTCAGAAATAACGCCGCATAGCTACAACTATCTGATCTTTGACAAGTCTGAGTAAAACAAGCAATGGGGAAAGGATTCCCTATTTAATAAATGGTGCTGGCAAAACTGGCTAGCCATATGTAGAAAGCTGAAACTGGATCCCTTCCTTACACCTTATACAAAAATCAATTCAAGATGGATTAAAGACTTAAATGTTAGACCTAAAACCATAAAAACCCTAGAAGAAAACCTAGGCATTACCATTCAGGACATAGGCATGGGCAAGGACTTCATGTCTAAAACACCAAAAGCAATGGCAACAAAAGTCAAAATTGACAAATGGGATCTAATTAAACTCAAGAGCTTCTGCACAGCAAAAGAAACTACCATCAGAGTGAACAGGCAACCTACAACATGGGAGAAAATTTTTGCAACCTACTCATCTGACAAAGGGCTAATATCCAGAATCTACAATGAACTCAAACAAATTTACAAGAAAAAAACAAACAACCCCATCAAAAAGTGGGCAAAGGACATGAACAGACACTTCCCAAAAGAAGACATTTATGCAGCCAAAAAACACATGAAAAAATGCTCATCATCACTGGCCATCAGAGAAATGCAAATCAAAACCACAATGAGATACCATCTCACACCAGTTAGAATGGCAATCATTCAAAAGTCAGGAAACAACAGGTGCTGGAGAGGATGTGGAGAAATAGGAACACTTTTACACTGTTGGTGGGACTGTAAACTAGTTCAACCATTGTGGAAGTCAGTGTGGCGATTCCTCAGGGATCTAGAACTAGAAATACCATTTGACCCAGCCATCCCATTACTTGGTATATACCCAAAGGACTATAAATCATGCTGCTATAAAGACACATGCACACGTATGTTTATTGCGGCACTATTCACAATAGCAAAGACTTGGAATCAACCCAAATGTCCAAAAATGATAGACTGGATTAAGAAAATGTGGCACATAGTGAGCCAAGATGGCTGAATAGGAACAGCTCAGGTCTACAGGTCCCAGCGTAAGCGACGCAGAAGACGGGTGATTTCTGCATTTCCATCTGAGGTACCGGGTTCATCTCACTAGGGAGTGCCAGACAGTGGGCGCAGGCCAGTGGGTGCATGCACCGTGCGCGAGCCGGAGCAGGGCGAGGCATTGCCTCACCTGGGAAGCGCAAGGGGTCAGGGAGTTCCCTTTCCGAGTCAAAGAAAGGGGTGACGGAGGCACCTGGAAAATCGGGTCACTCCCACCCGAATATTGCGCTTTTCAGACCGGCTTAAAAAACGGCGCACCACGAGACTATATCCCACACCTGGCTCAGAGGGTCCTACGCCCACGGAATCTCGCTGACTGCTAGCACAGCAGTCTGAGATCAAACTGCAAGGTGGCAGCGAGGCTGGGGGCGGGGCGCCCGCCATTGCCCAGGCTTGATTAGGTAAACAAAGCAGCCAGGAAGCTCGAACTGGGTGGAGCCTACCACACCTTAAGGAGGTCTGCCTGCCTCTGTAGGCTCCACATCTGGGGGCAGGGCACAGACAAACAAAAAGACAGCAGTAACCTCTGCAGACTTAAATGTCCCTGTCTGACAGCTTTGAAGAGGGCAGTGGTTCTCCCAGCACGCAGCTGGAGATCTGAGAACGGGCAGACTGCCTCCTCAAGTGGGTCCCTGACCCCTGACCCCCGAGCAGCCTAACTGGGAGGCACCCCCCAGCAGGGGCACACTGACACCTCACATGGCAGAGTATTCCAACACACCTAAAACCCATCTGTACCTCACCATCATCAAAGACCAAAAGTAGATAAAACCACAAAGATGGGGAAAAAACAGAGCAGAAAAACTGGAAACTCTAAAACGCAGAGCGCCTCTCCTCCTCCAAAGGAACGCAGTTCCTCACCAGCAATGGAACAAAGCTGGATGGAGAATGATTTTGACGAGCTGAGAGAAGAAGGCTTCAGACGATCAAATTACTCTGAGCTACGGGAGGACATTCAAACCAAAGGCAAAGAAGTTGAAAACTTTGAAAAAAATTTAGAAGAATTTATAACTAGAATAACCAATACAGAGAAGTGCTTAAAGGAGCTGATGGAGCTGAAAACCAAGGCTCGAGAACTACGTGAAGAATGCAGAAGCCTCAGGAGCCGATGCGATCAACTGGAAGAAAGGGTATCAGCAATGGAAGATGAAATGAATGAAATGAAGTGAGAAGGGAAGTTTAGAGAAAAAAGAATAAAAAGAAATGAGCAAAGCCTCCAAGAAATATGGGACTATGTGAAAAGACCAAATCTACGTCTGATTGGTGTACCTGAAAGTGATGTGGAGAATGGAACCAAGTTGGAAAACACTCTGCAGGATATTATCCAGGAGAACTTCCCCAATCTAGCAAGGCAGGCCAACGTTCAGATTCAGGAAATACAGAGAACGCCACAAAGATACTCCTCGAGAAGAGCAACTCCAAGACACATAATTGTCAGATTCACCAAAGTTGAAATGAAGGAAAAAATGTTAAGGGCAGCCAGAGAGAAAGGTCGGGTTACCCTCAAAGGGAAGCCCATCAGACTAACAGCAGATCTCTCGGCAGAAACCCTACAAACCAGAAGAGAGTGGGGGCCAATATTCAACATTCTTAAAGAAAAGAATTTTCAACCCAGAATTTCATATCCAGCCAAACTAAGCTTCATAAGTGAAGGAGAAATAAAATACTTTATAGACAAGCAAATGCTGAGAGATTTTGTCACCACCAGGCCTGCCCTAAAAGAGCTCCTGAAGGAAGCGCTAAACATGGAAAGGAACAACCAGTACCAGCCGCTGCAAAATCATGCCAAAATGTAAAGACCATTGAGACTAGGAAGAAACTGCATCAACTAACGAGCAAAATCACCAGCTAACATCATAATGACAGGATCAAATTCACACATAACTATATTAACTTTAAATGTAAATGGACTAAATTCACCAATTAAAAGACACAGACTGGCAAGTTGGATAAAGAGTCAAGACCCATCAGTGTGCTGTATTCAGGAAACCCATCTCACGTGCAGAGACACACATAGGCTCAAAATAAAAGGATGGAGGAAGATCTACCAAGCCAATGGAAAACAAAAAAAGGCAGGGGTTGCAATCCTAGTCTCTGATAAAACAGACTTTAAACCAACAAAGATCAAAAGAGACAAAGAAGGCCATTACATAATGGTAAAGGGATCAATTCAACATGAGGAGCTAACTATCCTAAATATATATGCACCCAATACAGGAGCACCCAGATTCATAAAGCAAGTCCTGAGTGACCTACAAAGAGACTTAGACTCCCACACATTAATAATGGGAGACTTTAACACCCCACTGTCAACATTAGACAGATCAACGAGACAGAAAGCCAACAAGGATACCCAGGAATTGAACTCAGCTCTGCACCAAGCGGACCTAATAGACATCTACAGAACTCTCCACCCCAATTCAACAGAATATACATTTTCTTCAGCACCACACCACACCTATTCCAAAATTGACCACATAGTTGGAAGTAAAGCTCTCCTCAGCAAATGTAAAAGAACAGAAATTATAACAAACTATCTCTCAGACCACAGTGCAATCAAACTAGAACTCAGGATTAAGAATCTCACTCAAAGCCGCTCAACTACGTGGAAACTGAACAACCTGCTCCTGAATGACTACTGGGTACATAACGAAATGAAGGCAGAAATAAAGATGTTCTTTGAAACCAACGAGAACAAAGACACAACATACCAGAATCTCTGGGATGCATTCAAAGCAGTGTGTAGAGGGAAATTTATAGCACTAAATGCTCACAAGAGAAAGCAGAAAAGATCCAAAATTGACACCCTAACAGCACAATTAAAAGAACTAGAAAAGCAAGAGCAAACACATTCAAAAGCTAGCAGAAGGCAAGAAATAACTAAAATCAGAGCAGAACTGAAGGAAATAGAGACACAAAGAACCCTTCAAAAAATCAATGAATCCAGGAGCTGGCTTTTTGAAAGGACCAACAAAATTGATAGACCGCTAGCAAGACTAATAAAGAAAAAAATAGAGAAGAATCAAATAGACACAATAAAAAATGATAAAGGGGATATCACCACCGATCCCACAGAAATACAAACTACCATCAAAGAATACTACAAACACCTCTACGCAAATAAACTAGAAAATCTAGAAGAAATGGATACATTCCTCGACACATACACTCTCCCAAGACTAAACCAGGAAGAAGTTGAATCTCTGAATAGACCAATAACAGGATCTGAAATTGTGGCAATAATCAATAGTTTACCAACCAAAAAGAGTCCAGGACCAGATGGATTCACAGCCGAATTCTACCAGAGGTACAAGGAGGAACTGGTACCATTCCTTCTGAAACTATTCCAATCAATAGAAAAAGAGGGAATCCTCCCTAACTCATTTTATGAGGCCAGCATCATTCTGATACCAAACCCGGGCAGAGACACAACCAAAAAAGAGAATTTTAGACCAATATCCTTGATGAACATTGATGCAAAAATCCTCAACAAAATACTGGCAAACTGAATCCAGCAGCACATCAAAAAGCTTATCCACCATGATCAAGTGGGCTTCATCCCTGTGATGCAAGGCTGGTTCAATATACGCAAATCAATAAATGTAATCCAGCATATAAACAGAGCCAAAGACAAAAACCACATGATTATCTCAATAGATGCAGAAAAAGCCTTTGACAAAATTCAACAACCCTTCATGCTAAAAACTCTCAATAAATTAGGTATTGATGGGACCTATTTCAAAATAATAAGAGCTATCTATGACAAACCCACAGCCAATATCATACTGAATGGGCAAAAACTGGAAGCATTCCCTTTGAAAACTGGCACAAGACAGGGATGCCCTCTCTCACCACTCCTATTCAACATAGTGTTGGAAGTTCTGGCCAGGGCAATCAGGCAGGAGAAGGAAATAAAGGGTATTCAATTAGGAAAAGAGGAAGTCAAATTGTCCCTGTTTGCAGACGACATGATTGTTTGTCTAGAAAACCCCATCGTCTCAGCCCAAAATCTCCTTAAGCTGATAAGCAACTTCAGCAAAGTCTCAGGATACAAAATCAATGTACAAAAATCACAAGCATTCTTATACACCAACAACAGACAAACAGAGAGCCAAATCATGAGTGAACTCCCATTCACAATTGCTTCAAAGAGAATAAAATACCTAGGAATCCAACTTACAAGGGATGTGAAGGACCTCTTCAAGGAGAACTACAAACCACTGCTCAAGGAAATAAAAGAGGATACAAACAAATGGAAGAACATTCCATGCTCATGGGTAGGAACAATCAATATCGTGAAAATGGCCATACTGCCCAAGGTAATTTACAGATTCAATGCCATCCCCATCAAGCTACCAATGACTTTCTTCACAGAATTGGAAAAAACTACTTTAAAGTTCATATGGAACCAAAAAAGAGCCCGCATCGCCAAGTCAACCCTAAGCCAAAAGAACAAAGCTGGAGGCATCACACTACCTGACTTCAAACTATACTACAAGGCTACAGTAACCAAAACAGCATGGTACTGGTACCAAAACAGAGATATAGATCAATGGAACAGAACAGAGCCCTCAGAAATAACGCCGCATACCTACAACTATCTGATCTTTGACAAACCTGAGAAAAACAAGCAATGGGGAAAGGATTCCCTATTTAATAAATGGTGCTGGCAAAACTGGCTAGCCATATGTAGAAAGCTGAAACTGGATCCCTTCCTTACACCTTATACAAAAATCAATTCAAGATGGATTAAAGATTTAAACGTTAGACCTAAAACCATAAAAACCCTAGAAGAAAACCTAGGCATTACCATTCAGGACATAGGCATGGGCAAGGACTTCATGTCTAAAACACCAAAAGCAATGGCAACAAAAGTCAAAATTGACAAATGGGATCTAATTAAACTCAAGAGCTTCTGCACAGCAAAAGAAACTACCATCAGAGTGAACAGGCAACCTACAACATGGGAGAAAATTTTTGCAACCTACTCATCTGACAAAGGGCTAATATCCAGAATCTACAATGAACTCAAACAAATTTACAAGAAAAAAACAAACAACCCCATCAAAAAGTGGGCGAAGGACATGAACAGACACTTCTCAAAAGAAGACATTTATGCAGCCAAAAAACACATGAAAAAATGCTCATCATCACTGGCCATCAGAGAAATGCAAATCAAAACCACTATGAGATATCATCTCACACCAGTTAGAATGGCAATCATTCAAAAGTCAGGAAACAACAGGTGCTGGAGAGGATGTGGAGAAATAGGAACACTTTTACACTGTTGGTGGGACTGTAAACTAGTTCAACCATTGTGGAAGTCAGTGTGGCGATTCCTCAGGGATCTAGAACTGGAAATACCATTTGACCCAGCCATCCCATTACTAGGTATATACCCAAAGGACTATAAATCATGCTGCTATAAAGACACATGCACACGTATGTTTATTGCGGCATTATTCACAATAGCAAAGACTTGGAACCAACCCAAATGTCCAACAATGATAGACTGGATTAAGAAAATGTGGCACATATACACCATGGAATACTATGCAGCCATAAAAAATGATGAGTTCATGTCCTTTGTAGGGACATGGATGAAATTGGAAACCATCATTCTCAGTAAACTATCGCAAGAACAAAAAACCAAACACCGCATATTCTCACTCATAGGTGGGAATTGCACAATGAGATCACATGGACACAGGAAGGGGAATATCACACTCTGGTGACTGTGGTGGCGTGGGGGGAGGGGGGAGGGATAACATTGGGAGATATACCTAATGCTAGATGACAAGTTAGTGGGTGCAGCGTACCAGCACGGCACATGTATACATATGTAACTAACCTGCACAATATGCACATGTACCCTAAAACTTAAAGTATAATAAAAAAAAAAAAGAAAATGTGGCACATATACACCATGGAATACTATGCAGCCATAAAAAATGATGAGTTCATGTCCTTTGTAGGGACATGGATGAAATTGGAAATCATCATTCTCAGTAAACTATCGCAAGAACAAAAAACCAAACGCCGCATATTCTCACTCATAGGTGGGAATTGAACAATGAGATCACATTGACACAGGAAGGGGAACATCACACTCTGGGGACTGTTGTGGGGTGGGGGGAGGGGGGAGGGATAGCATTGGGAGATATACCTAATGCTAAATGATGAGTTATTGGGTGCAGCGCACCAGCGTGGCACATGTATACATATGTAACTAACCTGCACAATGTGCACATGTACCCTAAAACTTAAAGTATAATAATAAAAGAAAAAAAAAAGAAAGAAAAAAGAAAAGAAAAAGTTAAGGTCTCAGATAATAGAAAAACCAAATAAAGCAAATCCCAGGACTTCATGCTCTGACATAGAACACTATAGACACAACAGATAAGAAGCCAAAAATGCCATTTGAGCAAGGGTCCACAAACTAAATCCCATCACCTGTTTTTGCATCTCTCACAAACATGTTATGTACATGTGTAAATGGTTTTTAAAATTTAAAAATAACATTTCATGAGATTTAAATTCAGTGTCCATAAAATGCTGTTGGAACACAGCTAAGCTCACCCGTTTACAACTTGTTTCTGCTTTCTATTGTTCTGTAAGAGCAGAGCTGAGTAGTTTTAATAGAGACCATATATCCTGGTGTATTATTCCATTTTCATACTGCTATGAAGAAATACCTGAGACTGGGTAATTTATAAAGAATCAGAGGTTTAACATACTCAGAGTTTTACGTGACTGGGGAGGTATCACAATCATGCGGAAGGTGAAAGAAGAGCAAAGGCACATCCTACATGGCAGCAGGCAGGAGAGCGTGGCAGGGGAACTGCCCTTTTTAAAACCATCAGATCTCATGAGACTTATTTACTATCACAAGAACAGCAGGGGAAAAATCTGCCCCCATGATTCAATTACCTCGCACCGGGTCCCTCCCATGACACATAGGGATTATGGGAGCTACAATTCAAGTTGAGATTTGGGTGGGGACACAGCCAAACTATATCACCTGGAAAGCCTAACATATTTATTACCTAGTCCTTTACTTAGAAAATTTGCTGAACTCTGATTTAGAGAATGTGGGTAATTAAATACAGTACTGTGGTAAATGAATCAGGAGAGTAGGTTTGACAAGAAAGCATGATGCAAAGGGTTGTACTCATTTACTTTTTTTTTTTTTTTTTTTGAGATGGAGTCTCACTCTGTCACCAGGCTGGAGTGCAATGGCACAATCTTGGCTCATTGCAACCTCCACCTCATGGGTTCAAGTGTTTTTCCTGCCTCAGTCTCCAGAGTAGCTGGGACTACAGGTGCATGCCACCACTCCCAGCTATTTTTTGTATTTTTAGTATAGATGGGGTTTCACCTTGTTGGCCAGAATGGTCTCAATCTCTTGACCTCATGATTTGCCTGCCTTGGCCTCCCAAAGTGCTGGAATTACACGTGTGAGCCACCGCACCCAGCTTATATGCTTCTGTATGAAATGGAGTTTCCAAAGAATTTATTTTGTGCCAGCCTGTGGATAGAAGCAAGACAATCAGTCCACACACTTTAAAGGAAATGTACATTTCCTTACTGTGTTTTTGGAATGCAAAAGGGAACTATCTTGGAGTTATGCTTCTTATGTTCTTTACTGCATGCATTATGAGGGCTCTATATTGCTGTCTTCTATTACTTAAGACATAAAATATTTTATATAATAATTGTTAAGTGATATATGTTCAGAAAAGTGCATGAATCATAAGTATATTATGCAATGAATATCTAAAATGTGAATACACTCACATAACTACCATTCAAACCTAAAAATGTAAGACTTACTCAGAAATCCTTTACCACCTTTCACGGTCATTCTTTCTACCTCTTATTCAAGTAGGTCCTAACCTGACCCCTAAAAAATAATAGACACGTTTTTGTTCTTTATATAATTTTCATTTGAATCTTGCTTCTTGCACTCAACATTATATTTGTAGGTAATTCATTCAAGTTCTCTAACATGAGCTCATTTATTTATATTGATCTATACTGTTCCATTATAAGTATATATGTAAAAATGTATATCATCATGTATGTCCTGCTCTTCAAAAAATTGTGTTTTATATCAAGTTTAGGGCTATTTCTATTATACAGAAGTGGAATTGCTAGGCCATGGGACATATATATGTTTATCCTTGGGAGTTACCTTGGTAGACTTCCCAAACTGTGGAACAAACCCGCAATGCTACCAAAAAGTTATGAGAAATCCAGCTACTCCAGCCTTCCAAAGTGCTGGGATTACAGGGTTAGCATCATTTTCTTCACACTGCCTTTTCTCCATCTTTTAGCACAACTGGTAATTTTGTTGCTGTTGTTGAAAGCCAGACACGAAGTATCAGGAGCTGAGGAAAATAGGTCTTCCTTGTGAAGCTTTACGTTAAACTAGTTAGCAGTGAGTTGTGTTAATATTTGTTGTAAGTTCCAGAGGCTTCAAATCCCTCTTGTGTTCCTTTTTTCTCTCCCTTGTTGTGTTTGAGTTTTCCTAGGAACTCCTCCATAAACAGAGTCTTTGCCTTGCAGATCTTTCAGCTATAATTTACTGCTATCATACTAGAGCCCTGTTAATGTGGTGGTAAAGGGAAGTATTGTACAATCTTATGATTAGATCTCTGTCTTTTATTGGGCCTGTGGTTATGGGCTATGATCTCCAGGAGAATTTCTTAGCTTCCCCCACATTAATAGATGTGGCTGGAGTTGGGTTAACGCCTTTCTGCCTAAGTGGGATAAGACTTACGTGATGGCTTTTCAGTAGGGGATAGGGGTTTGTTAGAGAGAATATTCTAGGAATATTTAAAAATTGTCACATTTCCCATCCTTTACAGGATCCAGAAGGTAATCTGTCTTAGCTCATCACCTTGAGAACCTGGTGAGGTTTCTAAAGGAAAAACTCACAAAAGGGTGGAGCCTCCCTAAGACTTCAGCCTCTTGGAGTTTCTCTTTCTCATGTTAGTCTCCACACAGCCTATAGCAATGCAACAAAAATGTCATTTTAGTGTTTATGTCTCCCTCAGTTGCTGCTCAATGTTAACAGGTCCCTTGGCTGTGAATCTCTGTATTCGCCTGTGTCTCTAGACCTCAGAGTGGCTGTTTGCATTATGACCTCAATTATTCAATGGGTCCAAGAAAAGCTTTGATTTTCAGGTCCTTGAGCTTTCTTCTTGATGTAAGGATACATGTGACAACTTCCAAGTACTTTATATGTCAAAGTTGAAACCTGAAGTCCTCTGTCTCCTCATTTGAATTTCCTGCTATTCCTGTCATTTGTTGTCTAAATATGCTCCTTCTTTTATCTGTCAACTAGATATCTCTGCTGTGATTATGTAAGATTACATGACTACTTATTTCTAAACACTTTCCTGCATTTCATCTAACACTTTTTATTTCATAACTGACTTGGTATCTTCAAATTTCAGCTTTCTTGTTTCTATAATGCACAAACCATGGTGACAATGAACACTCCACTTTACAAAACACATTTGCAGCATTCAAGAAAAAGAAATACTGAGCTTGAGTTAGAAACAACTTCAAATTTTCAAATTTCAATTAAAAACAAAAACAAAAAAAAGTTGCAGCGCACTTTAAAATGAAACACATCTGAAGCACTTCAGTGGGAATATTTCAAGATTAATTTTACTTTTGAAATTGTATTGCCTTTTCATTAATGATGGGTTTGTTTCAGAGATGGACTACATCATGACTATCACAATAAATGATCTTTAGGGTCCCTAAACTTCTCAGAATAGCAACTCTAAAGTTAGTCAAAAAAAAGTGTTTACACTCTGTGGTATTGTAGTTTTACATATCATCTCCATATTTCAGAATGACATATTTGTAAAAAAAAAGAAAAAGTAGTAATAAAAATGTGGAAAAATTATGCCCAGTTATAATGAAAAGTGTACACTAATTGTAAAGTTAGACTGATTGCTGCTTCTCTTAATTAAGCTATGGATATAAGAAATACCTATTCAGTAATCCTTTTGTAACTTGGATTGTAGGCATCATTCAAAGAGGAAATAACAAAAGCATCACTAAAGTACACAATGTACTAATTACACAGCTACAATAAACTTTTCTTAAAAATGATCTATGGGTTAATATATTTAAATATATTAATGCTTAAATAATTAATGAGTAATACTATGACAACTGTTTAGAAAATTAATAATGAGACATGCATATTTTATCAATGTTTAACGTTTCCTGAAGTTATTATCTACTTAATTAATTATCATACTCCTCATCAGTGATTTATTACATTCTAAGGAATAATTTCATAGTGGATATATATTTTAGTAAAATGAATCATTTTTGTATGTCTCCAAAATTCTGGAAGTACCTGACACTAATAAATTCCTACATTTAAAATAATTTTAAATAACAAAAAAATGTTGTCTTAAACACAAATAAAGAATTTAAAAAATAAGTACTTGTAGGTGTTATGTAACTGCTATTTATACAATAGCAAGATATATAACTTCATGTTTGACTTTCCTAGGCTGTCAGAAATAAAACTTATTTGCAAATACATTTAGAGGCTTCCTGAATTTTCTCAGTATGTCTTAATACTTTGTGGGATACTATAAAAATGTCACATTCGCTTTCTCTGCCTATTTCCATGTCCTTGGAATACGGCATTGCAGCATCTCCAATCAAAAGTCTGTCGTTTCCCAAATCATGAATCTGGGTTGGTTTTATAATGTTTTTAAACTAAGTTACAGTGATAAGGCACAAGTTTCCAGACTAGGCCTCACAAAGCCTACTTGCTCACTCGTGAGCAACCTTAACCCTCAAATGATCATGTGAATATGTCAAGGGTGTCCTGATTAAGAAGAGTCATCTTTCAGTATGAGTCCCATCTTTCAGTATGAGAGCTTGCCAACTACCATATATAAAAATGAGGTCATCTAAAATCATCCAGCCTTAAGCTGTCACACAAGTAGGCAATAAGTACATATGAGAGACTCAAGCAGAGATTAGCTGAGTAGACCCAAAGAAGATGAATGTTCCTGCAAACTCACAAAATTGAAGTTAAATAAAAGATTGTTGTTTTAAGTCACTAAGTGTAAAGGAGATTTGCTATGTAGTAAAAACTACTTGATACATACTTTCATTTTTAAGTCATAATTTTTATAAATGCTTTATTGAGATATAACTCAAATATAATAAAATTCATACTTTTAAAGTTTATAATGAAATGGTTTTAGTATATCCACACAGTATTGCAACCATCCTTCACTATCACATTTTAGAACGTTCTTATTACTCTAGAAAGAAACCATGTGCCCAATAGCGATCTTTCCCTATACCCCCTACACCCCAGCTCTTGACACCACTAATCTACCTTCTGTCTCTATAGATTGGTCTGTTATGGACTTTTCATGTAAATTAAATCGTAAAATATGAGGTAATTTGTGACTGACTTATTTTATCTGGCCTAATCTTTTCAAAGTCCTTCCATGTTTTATCATATATTAGTACTTAATGCCTTTTAATTGCATCAATTTGTCACTTGATAAATATTTGGAAAACCAATTCTACCTACTTTTAGCTATTATGTATAAACCTGCTATTAACATTTGATTACAACCTTTTGTGTGAAAATATGTTTTCAAGTTTCCTGCGTGTATACTTTGAGATGAAATACATAGGTTATAAGTTAACTATATAATTAGCATTTTGAGGAACTGCTAAATTGTTTTGCAAAGTGGCTACACAATTTTACTATCCCCAAAACCTTGTATGGGGGATCCAATTTCTCCACATTCTCATCAACATTTGAGATTGTCTGTCATTGTGATTACAGAAATCCTAGTGAGCATGAAGTGTGATCTCAATGTGATGTTGATTTGCACTCTCTTCATGATTAATGATGTTAACTATTTTTTCATATGCCTGTTGGTCATTTGTAAAGCTTATTGGAAGAAATGTGTATTCAGAAAATTTGCTCATTTTCAATATATTTGTATTTTATAGTTGAGGTGTAAGAGTTTCTCATAAATTCTGGTTTACAGGTCTCTAATCAGAAACATAATTTGCAATCATTCTCATTATGTGGGTTGCATATTTACTTTCTCAGTAGTGTCCTTTGGGAAAAAAGAAGAGGTTTTAGTTGCATTGATGTTCAATTTATCTATTTATTTTTCTTTTCATACTTAAGAGTTCTGTCTCATATACAAGAAACTAGTGCTTAAAAGTCAGTAAAATTTACTATGTTTTTGTTTATAAATTTTATAGCTTTAAATTTTATATTCAAATCTATGAAACATTTTGTTGATTTTGTATATGGTGTGAGGTAGCAGTCTAACTTTCTTGCTTTGCATATGGATATTCACTTGTTTCAGCACACATTTGTTTAAAAGATAATCCTTTCCCCATTGAATGGCCCTGAACTCTTATCAAAATTAATTGACCATGAATATATAGCCTTATGTTAGACTCCTGATTTTCTTCCCTTGATACAATTTATATTCTTATGCTGGTACCACAGTATCTTGGTTACTGTAACTCTGTAGTAAGTTTAAAAATTCGGAAGCCCTCCAACATTATTCTTCTTTTCAAGGTTACTTGAATATTCTGAATCACTTCTATCTTTATATAAACGTTATGAGGAACTTGCCAACTTTTCCTCCCTGAAAAAGAACTCTGGAATTTTGTTTAAGTTCCTTGTAGATTCTGGATATTAGATCTTTGTCAGACGTGTAGTTTGCAAATATTTTCTCCCGTTCTGTACGCTGTCTGCTTATTCTGTTGATAGTTTATTTTGCTGCATGGAAGCTCTTTAATCAAGTCCCATTTGTCAATTTGTGTTTTTGTTGCCATAGCTTTTGGTGTCTTCATCATGAACTCTTTGCCAGATCCTATGTACAGAATGGTATTTCCTAGATTATCTTACAGTGTTTTTATAGTTTTGCCTTTTACATTTAAATGTTTAATCCACTTTTAGTTGATTTTTGTGTATGATGTAAGGAAGGGGTCCAGTTTCAATCTTCTGCATATTGTTCGCCTGTCATCCCAGCACCATTTATTGAATAGGGAGTCCTTTCCCCATTGTTTGTTTGTTTTTTGTCCACTGTGTTAAAGATCAGATAGTTGTAGTTTCGATTGTTTTAAACTTTAGATCTCACAAATAAGTGGGAACATGCAATCTTTGTCTTTCTGTGCCGGGCTTATTTCACTTAACATAATGATCTCCAGTTCCACCTATGTTGTTGCAAATGACTGAATCTCGTTTGTTATGGCTGAATAATACTCCATTATGCATTATGGACACTTAATTTGCTTTCAAATATTAGCTATTGTAAAGAGTGCTGCCACAACATGGAAGTGTACATATCTCTTTGATATACCAATTTCCTTTCTTTAGGGCATAGGCCTGGCAGTGGGATTGCTGGGCCATATGGTAGCTCAACTTTTAGTTTTTTGAGGAACCTCCAAACTGTTATCTATAGTGGTTTTCCTAATTTAAATTCAGACCAACAGTGTACAAGGGTTCTCTTTTCTCCACATTCTCACCAGGATTTGTTATTGCTTGTCTTTTGGATATAAGCCATTTTAACTGGGAAGAAATAATATCTTTTTGTAGTTTTGATTTGCATTTCTCTGATGATTAATGATGTTGGGTTCCTTTTCATATGCCTGTTTGCCATTTGTATGTCTTCTCCTGAGAAATGTCTATTCAGATATTTTGCCCATTGTTGATTGGATTATAGATTTTTTCCTTCTGAGTTGTTTGAGCTCCTTATATATTCTGGTTATTAATCCCTTGTCAGGGAGGTAGTCTGAAAATAACATAAAAAAGACAAGTTCATCTTTGTTATCACTACCATTGATCTTACATTGTTCAAATGCTAGAGTTACTGTATTTTCCAGTGCCACTTCTTGTCCTTTACTGTTACCAACCTACAACACGTGATAGTTTTAGTATGCTAATCCTGTAGCATCTACCTAAATGTCAGCATGAAGGTACTTCTGTTCCATAATATTATACTGAGTGTCTATTTTCTAGGGCAGAAATAATGTCCTGAGTTTCCCTGCAAGCAGAGTATAAAACTTGGATAAACGTAGATTATTATAAGGCAATACTACAAAGTGGAAGCATGAAGGTGCTTCTATTCTATAATCTTATACTGAGTGTCTATTTTCTAGGGCAGAAAGAATGTCCTGAGTTTCCCTGCAAGCAAAGCATAAAACTTGGATAAAGACAGATTATTGTAAGGCACTACTAGAAAGTGGGAGTGAAAGAAGGGGAAGAGAAAGGGTCAGGGAAGATGGAGGTCAATATAAGGGTGCATTATTAAGGCAGCAGGAACTGACTTAGCTGGGACCTTTAAGAACTATTATATAAAAAAGTCTTTGTAGATGCCAAACCTGAATGAAACAAACAAACAAACAAACAAAAACCAAAAAACAGTATATTTATCCAGTAACACCATCATGACCCATTGGTTTGAAGGTTGCCTCTACAGGTGATAGCAATCTCACATTTTCATGCTGTACATGAGTGTGGGCAAATGAGATTGTTTTACCAGCAAAGAGACCCTATGGCAGAAGGTGGAAAAATGCACGGCACACATTTAAGATAGAATGCAGTCAATGCAGAATAAACCTTACTAGATGTGTCTATTAAAATTCTATATAGCCAGAGGAGATGTGATATTGGAACCAAGAATGTCTGCCACAGGTAGCATAAATTATGTCTATCTATTGTCTATGTTTTACAGTTCAGGAGGCTAAGATGTTCAAGATCAAAGTGTCCATATTTGGCATCTGGTGAGGGCCTTTTTGCTGCGTGCTTTACCTGGTAGAAGAGAAAGCACTGTCTTCTCATAGCAGAAAAGTAGAAGGCAAAACGGTAAAAAACAAAACAAAACAAAAAAAAAAACACCTAAGTTGTTCCCTCTGGCCTTTTCATAAGGCATTAATGGTTTCAAGAGGGCAGAGCCCATAGAACTTAATCACTTTCCAAAAAGCCTAACCTCTTTTTTTTTTTTTTTTTTTTTTTTTTTTTAATTGAGACGGAGTCTCTCGCTCTGTCGCCCAGGCTGCAGTATAGTGGCGCGATCTTGGCTCACTGCAAGCTCCGCCTCCCGGGTTCACGCCATTCTCCTGCCTCAGCCTCCCCAGAAGTAGCTGAGACTAGAGGCGCCTGCCACCACGCCCAGCTAATTTTTTGTATTTTTAGTAGAGACGGGGTTTCACCGTGTTAGCCAGGATGGTCTCGATCTCCTGACCTCGTGATCCGCCCGCCTCGGCCTCCCAAAGTGCTGGGATTACAGTCGTGAGCCACTGAGCCCAGCCCAAACAGCCTAACCTCTTAATAACATTACAATGAGAATTTGGCTTCAACTTTTGAATTTTGCAGACATTCAGACAACAGCATTACACACTACCTGGTATTTTTCCAATACATTTCTCTTTCATTTTATATAGTAAAATCAGTTTTTCTAGTTTGCATGCAAGAACTATCATTCTGAAAACATGTTTCTGGCAACCTTATTATTATTTTTTAATCTGAAGTTAGAGGTGCTACCCGTAGTAGCTCCTCTTAGAATTTCACTTAGAATTTGTGATTTTTCACTTAGAATTTGTGATTTATCACTGATGCTCAACATTTTCACCTTTTGGTTATTTTAAAATTAATTGCATCTAAAATATAATAATCAAAGTTGATTGTACTTTTCAATTCCTTTAGGAATGATTTTATGTACTGTGTCATCAAATTTTGTTCCAATTCAATTTTTTCTTGCCTCTTTCAGAAAAATCTATTTCTTGTGTTTTCTTTATGAATTCTTTAGCCATTTGTTTTCCTTGGTTTTTATCTCTTTTTTTCTTCCATGCATTCATAAACAGGTAATGGACTTGTCCTTTTGAAATCTCTGATTTATTATTATTTTTCTTTCTGAGTTTACACTTTTCTTTACAACAGCAACCAAGATAGATATGTAGCTTCCATGCATTGTTTGGCTCCTTTCATTTGTTTCCATCATACTTCCTTCTAATCAGCCTATATGTTTTTGTCATGGCTTTTCAACATCTTTGTTCTTCACAGAGTTTATCTTTGAAGAAAAAAGATTCAATGAAACAAAACAGATACATTCTAAGGTACTTTTGTAACAACTATTTTTCATATATACGTATTTTCAATATTTTTATATCATGCTTTAATTTCCAACTGTTTTAGATCATTTTTCACAGAGCCTAGGTCTGGTGGTTTGCTTCTACCCGTTCATCCTTGAATACAAAGTAATTAAGTAAGAACCAACATTCATCATTGGATACGTTAAATGCTCTCAATCTCTCAAGAGTTTTTGGGAATGAAACGTTCACAGATCAAGAACCCTAGTGCCATTGCTGTGCATCTGCTTCAATGACATTAAAGTTCCTATTGCCATTTATCAAATGAGCTTCTATGGAAGATTCTACTGAAAGTTTTCTCATTGGTGGTTGAGTTCACCCTGTGAAGTAAGTCAGGAATGGAAAACCAAACATTGTATGTTCTCACTAATATGTGGGAGCTAAGCTATGAGGATGCAAAGGCAAAAAAATGATGCAATGGACTTTGGGGACTTGGGGGAAAGAATGGGAGGGAGGCGAGGGATAAAAGACTACAAATATGGTGCGGCATATACTGCCCGGGTAATGGGTGCACCAAAATCTCACAAATCACCACTAAATAACGTACTTAGGCAACTAAATACCACCTGTACCCTAAAAGCTTATGGAAAAATAAAATAAAAAATTAAAATTAAAACATAGAATTTACAGCTATTTACATATGAATCATACATAAAAATTGACTCTTATTTTAACAGGCATTGATCTTCCACCTTTTCACGTCTTTCAGAACTAAATGGCTTAGTTATTTCATATAACTGTATCCAAAGAAGTTTCCTAACTTAACTCTTTCTAGCTATGTTCATGTTGCATACTAAAATCTGAAATTATTGAGTGAATATGAAAAAGAATTTTATTTACAATGATGACAAATAGGATTTTTATAGTATAGCATTTGTATAAGTTTGGCTTGTAAAAGTCTCTGAATTATGGAATACATGGCAAACAATAGTAGGAATTAGTCTTTTGTTACATTTTAAAGAGCTACCAACATTGTTTTTTGAGTATGAAAAATTTGCTATGCAAGAAAGTCATTGTCATTTCATTTCCATTTCCTTTAAATTTGAGATGAGATTGATGCCAGTATGGTAGTCTTAAGCATCACCATGGTTGCCTAGTTGTAAACTAGGAAACAGTGAATCAAGAAATTCTAGACTGTTTTTTAGATAGGTAGGAAAATTATGCTTATTAAGACTTAATCAACATTGAATCTTGAACTCTTGGTTTGTATTCTGTTTTACTGGAAACTAATTTCTGACGATAAAATTTCTAATAAATATGATGAAATCTTGAATTTATAAATGCTTAAACCTGAGATTTACTCACTACTGACTCTTTACTTTTAATTCCAGTTATGACAAGCTATCCTTCTCTGGTCATGGTGGCAGTAGGACAGAATAGTATCTTCAGCATTCAACAGTTCTTTTAGTAAGTGTTATGTGCAAAGCCACAGCCTGACAGTTATGCAATAATGGTTTTATTTGAACTTTTTAAGACAAGATTTGATCAGTAATTAGAAAAACCAGTTTGACTATTCACAATAGCAAAGACATGGAATCAACCCAGATGCCCATCAGTGGTGCATTGGATAAAGAAAATGTAGTACATATACACCATGGAATACTATGCAGCCACAAAAGGAATGAAATCATGTTCTTTGCAGCAATGTGGTTGCAGCTGGAGGCCATTATCCTAAATGAATTAACGCAGAAACAGAAAGACAAATATTGCATGTTCTCACTTATAAGTGGGAGCTAAATGTTAGGTACACAGGGATGTAAAGATGAGAACGTAGACACTGGGGACTCCAAAAGAAAGGAGGGAGAGAGTGGGGAAAGGGCTTAAAAACGACCTATTCTGTACTATGTTCACTATTTGGGTGACAGGTTCAGTTGAAGCCCAAACCTCAGCATCATGCAATATATCTATTTAACAAACCTGCACATGTACTCCCAGAATATAAAACCAAAAAGAGGAAATATCAGCTTAAACAAAGAATATGACATTTTTATAGTAAGAGCAGCCATTTCATCTGACAAATGGAAATTAATGTCACTTGATATATATTAGTTATCAGTATTAAAATAATTATGAATCACAACAAAGCCTACTCAATGCTGTAATTTCAGTTCTTCATACTTGTGATTTTATAGACCCATTTGAAAAATAATAGCTTTTGAAACTAATATCAAGAATAAAATTATGCTAGACACATGAATGACTGTCTTTGAAAATGACTAGACAACTGGAGAGTGCAGCAATCAACTACTGCTCAATTAATACTTCATAATTTCACTGTTCCAGTAGTATTCTGACTACTTACTATGTTTTCCTTTATGTTTGTAATTTAATACATTGGTCTGTTCAAATTCCTGCCATGGACAGGAATTTTATACTTTATTTTCTTATAATATTTACTTGATATAAAGAATTTCAGTGACTTTTTGTTTTGTTTGTAGGCAAAAGCTCTTCCTAGGAGATCTAGCCAACTACCAATTATGAAATAAAGAAATGTAGTGATAAATTCATGATAATAAATTCATTTTCTACAGGATTACTGATTGAAATATCAAGATTTTTAAAATCAGATATCCATAAATGTTTTACTTGAGAATAAATTACATATTTTACTATTGCATTAACTTCTTTATTTGCCAAAAGTTTTCGGAATGATATTGATAAATCCCACAGGCAGTTTCTATTTAAAGATTGATCTGATTTTTTCTGAGAGTAAGATTGTGTAATATCTATTTTAAACAGCCAGAACTGTTACAGACTATTTAAAGTAGAAAAAAGGTTTAATTTGGTGCAGTTATGGGCTTGTAATTGTTTAACAATAGTCTCTCCAGAAAAAAAGTGATTTGTAACATTTGACAATTTATCTGATGTAAATTCTCCTACTAAGGACAATTTTAAGCTACCAATGTAATGCCAATGAATTAAGAGATAGGAAGGAATAAACGGAATCACTTTCAAGTGCCTTTAAGAGTTCATAATATTAACCAGCACACTATGAAACGTGATGAAGTTTTTTAACTTAGATTTTACAATGGGGCAAATATACTACTATATTATCCAAGCTATACATTTTTAAAATGTATGGTATTTTGTATTTAGGGATCAAAAGTTATTTTGCAGCAAAAAAATAACCTTAAAAAAGGCATTCCTTATGTTACTTGCACAATATTAATCTTTATAATTTTACCATACTAGTCTACCCAAAGAATTATTCAAGATTCTCCTCCTACTCATTATAATCATACTCCATTTCCTTACAACTAATCTGGTTTCATCATACTCTTGCAAATACCAACTGAGTCTTCTGCTTTTTTCTATTTCTTTCATCCTATATTGATGTACAATAATCCCATGCACTTTTTTCCCAACATTCCTAAGTATCTAAATACTAGTATATACCCATACAAGAGACTACAAAACAACAATAACAACACAACAACATGTTTTTAAAAGTAAATTTGGTGATACAAGGACTTCTCATTATACTAGTAGTGACTATCTAAAACATAAGTAGTATGAATGTTATAAAGGAAAATACATCAAAACACAATCATCTTTAACAATTAAGAAAATTAAAGTAACTATATGTCTCTCAACACCATACTCATCATAAAGCAGTGTCTATGTATCCCCTTCATTATAAATGTCTTTGGTATGCATTCTTTCTGTGACTGAGGATTTTGCATGTAATGCATTGGATTACAAAGTAAAACATCACACTACTCAAAGAGTGAAGTATTCATTAAGTCAATAGAAGAGTTATTAGATAATTGGTTAAATCAAGTAAGAATGTAGCTCTAGAAAGGATCAATTAAAATTTTAAAAAGACATGGCTAAACTAGTTTACAGTCCCACCAACAGTGTAAAAGTGTCCTATTTCTCCACATCCTCTCCAGCACCTATTGTTTCCTGACTTTTTGATGATCGCCATTCTAACTGGTGTGAGATGGTATCTCACTGTGGTTTTGATTTGCATTTCTCTGATGGCCAGTGATGATGAGCATTTTTTCTTGTGTCTGTTGGCTGCATAAATGTCTTCTTTTGAGAAGTGTCTGTTTATATCCTTCGCCCACTTTTTGATGGGGTTGTTTGTTTTTTTCTTGTAAATTTGTTTGAGTTCTTTGTAGATTCTGGAAATTAGCCCTTTGTCAAATGAGTAGATTGCAAAAGTTTTCTCCCATTCTGTAGGTTGTCTGTTCACTCTGATGGTAGTTTCTTTTGCTGTGCAGAAGCTCTTTAGTTTAATTAGATCCCGTTTGTCAATTTTGGCTTTTGTTGCCATTGCTTTTGGTGTTTTAGACATGAAGTCCTTGCCCATGCCTATGTCCTGAATGGTATTGCCTAGGTTTTCTTCTAGGGTTTTTATGGTTTTAGGTCTAACATTTAAGGAAGATAGTGTGGCGATTCCTTGAGGATCTAGAACTAGAAATACCGTTTGACCCAGCCATCCCATTACTGGGTATATACCCAAGGGATTATAAATCATGCTGCTATAAAGACACATGCATATGTATGTTTACTGCAGCACTATTCACAATAGCAAAGACTTGGAACCAACCCAAATGTCCAACAATGATAGACTGGATTAAGAAAATGTGGCACATATACACCATGGAATACTATGCAGCCATAAAAAATGATGAGTTCATGTCCTATGTAGGGACATGGATGAAGCTGGAAACCATCATTCTCAGCAAACTATCACAAGGACAAAAAACCAAACACCACATGTTCTCACTCATAGGTGGGAACTGAACCATGAGAACACTTGCATACAGGAAGGGGAACATCACACACTGGGGCCTGTTGTGGGGTGGGGGTAGAGGGGAGGGATAGCATTAGGAGATATACCTAATGTAAATGATGAGTTAATGGGTGCAGCACACCAATATGGCACATGTATACATATGTAACAAACCTGCACATTGTGCACATGTACCCTAGAACTTAAAGTATTAAAAAAAAAAAGAAGGCAAAAAAAAGACATGGCTATCTACTTGAATGATGGTATTGCAGATGTTCCAAAGAATAATAGAGTGATGCAAAAAATGGCAGTGCTAGAGTAAACTTACTGCTGCAAACACTTATATTATAAAAGAACAATCTCTAATAAATATCTTAAACTTTTCACTTAAGAAACTACAAAAAGAACAAACTAAATTCAAAGCAATGAGAAGGAAGTAAATAATAACAAGTGGAACACAAATAAATGAAATATAGAAAAAAAATAGAGATAATGAATGAAACCAAAAGTGCATCCGTTGAATAGACACACCAAATTGACAAAAAATAAAAATCTAAACAAGATAAACTAAACAAAGAAGAGAGAAAAGCGCAGAAGTTATGAATTTCAAGAATAAAGGCAGACCCTATAAGCGTAAAGAGGATTATAAGGGAATTTGATGAACGACTGTATGTCAACAAATTAACATGAACCAGATGAAACAGAAAATTTCCTAGAAAGATACAAACTATGAAAACTGACTCCAGAATAAAAAGAATATCTGAATAGACATATAACAAGAGATTAAATTAGTAATCAAACAGTCCACTACAAAGAAAAATCAAGTCTCAGAGGGCTTCACTAGTGAATTCAAACTTTTAAACATGAATCTTTCACAAACTTTTGCAAAAAGGAGGAGAGAAGAGGACACTTTTCCACATCATTCTATGAAGTATCAATGAATTATTACTATGAAGTATCTGTGAAGTTATCTATGAAGTATTACTCTGATACCAAAATCAGAGAAAGATATCAGATATAAAGAAAACTATAGATGAATATTTCTTATAGATATAAAAGCAAAATTTTCAATATATACTAGCAAATTTAATCCAGTAACATACAAAAATTAGACAACCTGACCAAGTGCGACTTGTCACAGGAATGTGAGATTAGTTTAACATCTCAAAATCAGTAACTGTAAGACACCATATTGACAGAATAAAGGATTAAAAATGTGATTATCTCACTAGAACAAGAAACAAAATTTGACAAAAAAATTGAAAAACACTCTTTCATGATAAAAAATACTCAGCAAAATAGGATAAAGGAATTACCACCTTCATCTGATAAAGAACACTTAGGAAAAAACTATAAATAACGTTATACATACTGACATAAGAGTGAACACTTTTCTCCTAAGGTCAGGAAAAAAACCAGGATTGTCTACTCTCCCCAGTAGAGTGCAACATTGTACTAAAGGTTAGAGCCAGCGCACTTAAACAAGTAAAAGAAATAAAATGCACATGTTAGAAAGAAGTAAAACTATCTCTGCATATTGATGCCATGATCTTGTACACAGATAAGCCTAAGGAATCTTTACTAAGATACTAGTATAATTTAAAAAGGGGGAGAAGATGGCTGACTAGAAGCAACTTTTGTGTGCTGCTGTCATGGAGAGAAGAAAAAACGGTGAATGGACAGTAGTTCTTCAAGTGGAACAACCAGGTGGATACATTGGGATTCATCAAGGAAACAGTGTGACCAACAGGGAATGGAGAAGAGTGAGATAATACAGCTGCCCCCCCCAGGAGTGGCATGGAGCCAGGGGACTCCTTCAACCACAGGTAAATGGTGAGTGAGTGAGGCCACAGGGACCCACACTTTTGCCATGGGCTTCTGCATCCCTGGGCCCAGAACATTCTTTGTAAGCCCTACAACTGAGGCCTCCAGACTGACAAAGAGAGCTACATGGAATCCAGAGGTGGCACTCAGGCTCGTATGGAGTTCCAGGAGCCTTGGATCCCCAGGCATCCCCATGCCAGTGGCTGAAGTTCCCGGAACAGAGGATAAAGATAAGTCCCACTGGCCTGGGACATTAGTGTGGCCACTCCAGCCACGCCTGAGTTTTCTGGCCAGGAGCAGCTCCGCTCTTACCTGGGATTGAGCTCCCTAAGGGAGAGGCAGGCTGCCATTTTCACTGTGCCACAGATGTCTGTTGCCCTTAGGCTTGGGGGAGTGTGAGCGATTAGGGACTGTTGCAGATTCCCAGCACAGCTCAACTTCCTTACAGAAAAGTAGCCAAACTGTTTTCCACGTGGGTCCATGACCCAGCTGCTCCTCTCTGGGCAGGACCTTCTCACCTGTGACTTCAGCCACCCCTCGCCTGGGCTTTTGGACTGGTAGCAGCTTTGCACTTCCCTGAGACAGAACTCCCAGAAAGAGAGGCAGGCCACATTTTTGCTGCTCTACAGCCCGCCCTCCTGTTGCCTTTGGGCTTCAGAGGGAGTGCAGTGATTAGGGACTATCATGGAACCCCTGGCCAGTCCAGCGACCTTATGAAAAAGTGGCCACTGTTGTTTCCCATGTGTGTTCCTAACCTTGCTGCTCCTCGCTGGGCAGGGCCTCCTGACTGGGACCTAGCCACATCCCGACTAGGCTCTTGGGCAGTAGCAGCTCTGTGGTTCCCTTGGACAGAGCTCCCAGAGGGGCAGGCACGCTGCCATTTTTGCTACCTCACAACGCTCACTCCTATTTCCCTTAGGCTCAGGAGGGAGCATAGTGGTTGGGGATTGACCTGGATTCCCAGCACAGCACAGCAGCCTTATGGAAAGTGACAAGAGTGTTTTCCACGCGGGTCATTATATTAGGCCTCCAGCACAATCACCCTGCCCCACCTGAACACTTCAGTTCGTGACAGATCTGTGTTTCTCTGGGGAGGAAAGCACAGAGACAACCCATAGCCCCTCTGCCATTGCAACTGCACTGGTATTGCCTTTACTGCCCTCAGGCTGGGTAAGGGGAAAAGGTCCTGGTCACTATCCTGGAACATCCAGCATTTTGCAGCCACCACAGAGAGAGGAGCCCAGGCTCTCTTCCCTGTGAGCCCCTACCACCCAGTGTTTACCAAGCAAGATCACCAGCTCTAGACCTCAGAACAGCTGTCCTACACCCAGCTGAGCATTCCCACTTCTGGTGGCTCTGTGTTTCCCTGAAGAAGGGTCTCCAAGAGACAATCAACAGCCCCCCAGACACTGTCACAGCAGCAGTTTTGTCCCTGCTGCCTCTGCACTGGAGAAGAAACAAAGAGCCTGAGGGCTTTAGTCTCACTTTCAGCACAACACAGTCACCATATGGAGAGAAGCCCAATCTCTTTTCCCTGTGAGCCCTAAACCATCTGCTCTTCATCAAGTGGGGCTCTCACCTCAGGTCAGAGGTGCAGCCATTGACTATCTGGCTGAACATTACCAGTAGCAGCATTTCTGCATTTCTCTGAGGTAGAGCTCTAAGAGTCAACTGAAAGCCCCGCTGCCATTGGCTCTGCAGTGGTACTGCCCTTGCTGCCTTGAAGGTACAAAACTCACTCATAATATAAGCACACAGAAAAATATCATAACACTGTAACTATGGTGTCTAAACTAGTCTAATCCTATATATAAAGACTAAATGATGAACCAATCAAAAATAATAACTGAAACAACTTTTAAAGACATAGTCAATACAGTAAGATATAAATATAAACCACAAAATGTTTAAAAGCAGGGAGATAAAGTTAAAGCATAGAGCTTTTGTTAGTTTTTTTTTTCTTTTTTTTTTCATGCAAATAATGGTAAGTTTTTATCAGCTTAAAATAATGGGTTATAAAGTAATATTTGCACACCTCATGGTAACCTTGAACCAAAAAAACATACAGTGGATACACACACAAAAAAGTGAGAAACTAAATCATATCACTAGAGAAAAATCACTTTCACTAGAGGAAGACAGGAAGTAAAAAAAGAGAACACCACAAAACAACCAGAACATATAACAAAATTGCAAGAGTAAGTTCTTACTTATCAACAATAACATTGAATGTAAATGGACTAAAGTCTTTCATCAAAAGACATAGATTGGCTGAATAGGTAAGTAACAAGACTCATTGATCTGTTGCCTATGAGAAACAAATTTCACCTATAAAGACACATATATACTGAAAATAAAGGGATGAAAAAAAATATTCCATACCAATGGAAACCAAAAATGAGTAGAAGTCACTATAGTTGTATAAGACAAAATAGATGTAAAGGTAAAAACTATAAGAAGAGACAAAGAACACTACTATCTAATGATAAAGGGTTCAATTAATCAAGAGACTATAACTATTTTAAATATATATGCACCTAACTGTGGAGCACCCAGATAGGTACAGCAAATATTAGCAGAGCTAAAGACAGAGATAGGCCCCAGTACAACAATAGCTGGAGATTTCAACATCCCACTTTCAGCATTGGACGGATCTTCCAGATGGAAAATCAACAAAGAAACACCAGACTTAATTTTCACGATAGACCAAATGGGTCTAACAGATATTTACAGAACATTCCATCCAGCTGCAGAATATACATTTTTTCCCTCAGTTCACGGATCCATCTCAAGGATTGACTGTACATTAGGTCACAAAACAAGTCTTAAAAATTGAGATAGTATCAAGCATCTTCTCTGACCACAATAGAATAAAGCTAGAAATTAATAACAAGAGGAATTTTGGAAACTATACAAATTCATGGAGATTAAAAAACATGCTCCTGTACGACCAGTAGGTCAATGAAGAAATTAAGAAGGAAATTAAAAAATTTCTTGAAACAAATGATACTGGAAACACAGCATACCAAAACCTCTGGAATAAAGCAAAAGCAGTACTAAGAGGGAAGTTTATAGCCATAAGTGCCTACCTCAAAAAAGAGGAAAAACTTCAAATGAACAATCTAATGATTAATATCTTAAAGAGCTAGAAAAGCAAGAGCAAACCAATCCCAAAATTAGTAGAAGAAAGTAAATCATAAAGATCAGAGAAGAAATAAATGAAATTGAAAGAAAATTAAAAACATACATGAAATTGAAATGAGTAAAGCAATACAAAAAATCAATAAAAAATAAGCTCTATTTTTTGAAAAGTTAGACAAAATTCACAAACCTTTAGCCGGAAATCAGAAATGAGAGAGACATTACAACTGATACTGCATAAATTCATATATAATTAAATATCTGTGAATTACCTTAACCAAAGTGAAAGATCTAAATAATGAAAACTATGAAATACTGATGAAAGAAATTGAGAATTTTTTATGTTAAAATCTTTATTGGCAAAGAAAGTAGGCTTAAAGAAACCTATTCTTTAAAACTTGTTGAAATATAACTTATGGTCTTGGAAATGGTAAGTTTAATAACTATTTTCTATAGGTTGAAATGTTCTTTTTATGTCCATTAGATCAAGTTTAATTTTCCATTGTAAAAATTTATATTTTAACTTTTTGGAAGAAATGTTGAAACCTCTCATTATTATTTTAAAAAATCTGTTAATTTTTACTTTCAAGTTTTTAAATATAAATTACTATCCAAATACAAGTCTAGAATTTTCACATCTAGTGAGCTGATTGAACATTTTTATCACAGAATAGAGACCTTTTTATTCCTAGTAATGTTATTTGCCTTAGAGCCAATTTTGCCTATGTTACTGTATCTGTAACATTTTAGTATTTTTTTATTGAATTTACACTTTTACAGAAAAGTGTAGTATATATAATATAGAACTCAAAGAAAGGCTACAAAGTATACATACCAACCTAATCAGGAAATCCAATATTGCCAGCGCCTCAGAAGCCCACCTACAAACTCTCCCAGTCCTTATTTCCCCATTCCCCTAAGGGTAATTCCTATCCTGACTTTTAATATCATACTTTAGTTTCTGTTGTTCTTGAACTTTGTATAAATGTAATCGTATAATAGGTATTCTTCCGTGTCAGTATTTTTATTTGCCTTAGCTGTAGTGTGTTCATTTAAAGTATTTTATTGTATGCATATGCTATAATTTTTAACCATTCTACTGATGATGGACATTTAAATTGTATCAAGTTTGGAACTTTTACAAATAATACTGCTATGAATATTATTGTACTTTTCTTTGGCACACATATGCATTTTTATGTTATGTATTTACCGAGAAATAGAGTTGCCAGATAAAACACAAGATACCCAATCAAACGGGAATTTCAAATAAACAATAAAAAAAATTAGTATATTTATGTCCCAAATATTGCATGCATGCATTTATGCTAAAAAAGTGTATTCATTGTTTATCCAAAATTCACATTAAACTGAGTTTCATGCATTTTTATATACCAAATTTGGCAACCCTACATAGAAATACATAGTAAAAATAAAAAACAAAACCTCCCTGTGGTCAGAAAAGTATTCCATTATACTATGATATCTTCTAGAAATTTTCTTATTAGGCCTTTAGCTATATAGTCTCTTGTATTAGACATTTTTGTTGTTGTTGTGAAGTTTCATTTGGTTACTTTTCATATTTTATTTTTTTACAAATAGTTATCCAGTTCTGCTAGAAAACTTTATGGAAAAAACCATTACTTCTTTGGTAGTGCACAGTCCCACCTAGGGTTTGGCCAAAATCTACTAAAATATGTGAAAATTTAAAATTGGATAACATTAAATCTGTAGATCAATTTTGGAAGAAACAAAATTTATAAAACATATAGTGCTCAAACCATAAACTTGCTATAGTTTTCCATTAATTTAGGTCATTAATTTTTCAAAATATATTTTAGAGTGGTCTGTGTCTAAGTCTTGAACATATTTTGTTGAATTTCTTTCTAAATATTTGATGTTTTTGTTGCTTTTTAAGTAGTTATATTTTTTGAAAATTTCTGTAATTAAATTATTGGAAACAATCCACTGTTTTCTCCATATATTTTTTAACAATTGTGATTTTTGTAAGAACTTAGCAATGTTATTCCCTACCAGATAACTGTAGAAGCATTTAAGGAAATAATCCTGCATAGTTTTATTCATTATTAAATCCACAGTACCTAGCTCAATGTATGTCACATAGTAGGCAATAAATAAATACTTGCTGCAATCTTTGCAAGAAATGCTTAACCCCCAGGATTTGAAAATTGACCCTCAGTTCCACTTACATAGAATATTTGGTTGATAGATATATTTTCAACACATAAGTACCAACCTTCAACATGTAATTACATAGGAATATTTTTCTTACAATTTTCCTATTCTAGAAACACATGGGACTGCTTAATTTAATTTAGGAGATGTGGGTGTGAATGTTAAGGATTAATTACATAACACAACCGGATGAATTTGGTAAAATGATCTTTAGAATTCACCTTTCACTATTTTAACAAATAGTTAAAATACTGGGACATATATGTACAGAAAAGCTACTAAGATTTGGTCTGCATGACTATAATCCAGAGTAAAGGCTAGATCCATCCTACAGACTTGATCAAACCTTATGTTGCATTTAGTTCAGAAATCCAGAGTTTTATTAGGAGTAATAGTCATAATACCTGCAAGGAAAGCAAACAAACAAGATAGGCAATGTCTAAAGAAACTATGCTTGAAATTTTTTTTCTTTTAATCAACAAAGAGAATGTTATATATACTCTTAAATGTCTTGAGCTCATAACAGCTTTTGTTTTACTCTTTGCTGCTCCATAGAGTAAAGAGGATCAGGATAAAGCATTATTTTTAAAAAATCTGTTTTGGATAGATATATAAGAAACGTTGTAATAATTAGATTTTCCCAAAGATGAAAATGGTCTATCATTCTGCCTCTCTCTCTCTTAAGCTAGAATTGCATCACCCTTGTTAGAGAATCCCTGAAATCTGTGAGTATCTCCATTATCTTTTCAATTATCAGTTTTTTTCACTGTAAACCATTAGAAAAGCATAATATTCTTCCATTTCCTAGGTTATTATTGTCTTTTAATAAACAATCAGGAAAATAACAAATGCATAATTTTATAATCTGAAGAAGCTATGCAATCATTGTATTCTAATATATGAATACATTTGTTATATTCATATATAGCATATATATACAACTTTTTAAGGGGAATTATGGTTCATAAGCAAGACAATAACAGTTATGGTGAGTATATGAATCAAGTAAATGGAAGAAGATATTTTTCTGGTATCTAAAAAAGATTTAAGAGATTATTCATTCTCCTTATAATTTTCTTTGAATTAAATGTTGATATGGCCTATTATATTTGAAATAACTTTAATTTTTAAAATCAGTGCAACAAAAAAAAACTGTTTCTGGCATTGTGTATTCCCCTTTATATTTATTTGCAATGATAAAATCATGCATTTATAGGCTTGTGGGTTAATGTAGATACAAGTAATGCGATGTACCATTTTAATTTAAATGCAAAACATTTATTGCTCTTACATAAAGTCAATAATATCTATACTGGTGAATAAGTGCCACTGATCCAAATCAATTTTTTAAATTACCTAAAAATTTATTATTGCTCATAACTTTATATTTCTCTAGATACTATGTAAATCTTTGAAAACAATTAGCAAATCCAAAAGCACTTTGTAAATCTATGAATTTTTAATGCTCCTTTACATGCCATCTTTCTTCTAACTTGAAAATATAATTCCCTTCAATGTCCCTTCCCTTCTCAAACCTTTTAACTTCCAGCACTAAAGACAGCTGTGCAGAGCATAAATAACATATTAATTTTCATGGTCTATGAATCAGACAATACCAATGGATTTTCAACTATTTTAAATACCTTCCAATTACAGCTGAATCTCACATTGCCATTACCTGAATATGTGGGAAAACAAACTTTGTTTGGATGACATAAAGGCCTATGAGGAAATACCATATTATCCTGAGGGTGCAGTACAGGAGGTGATTAAATGCAGGATGGAAGCAGGGAAGGGAAGTAATGAAACTATTACTCCATATAATAAACAACTATATATATTCTTCAGATTCTAATCTATTTGTAGGCAAGTGAATGTCTTCAGTAGAGCAGACTGATAATCGGAGTTGGAGAGAGGGCTCACAACATTATCCTTGAAGCGAGTGTCTTCACTAGAGCAGAATGATAATTAGGATGTGGAGATGGGCAAATAATATCACCCTTGACAACGATAATAATCAGAGTGAAATATATAGACATGCATCACTTCCTTAATCTCAAACTTTGGGAGCACTGTGACACCATTCAGTCCAAATCACAATCCTCCCAATAAGTATAGTGAGGCACCTTTAAGCAGTCTCACAACAAGGTACCTTAATGAATGCCTGGCTTGGAGAGGAATAACTTGGTAGGTACCTCTGTATCATTGTTGATTTGTTGTTTTAATTTTTATTTTTAAATAATGTTAGAAAAAGTTAGAAAAGTGACAAAGATAGCATAAAGAACCCTTTTATGACCTCTTTCTGGATTCTGCCAATGTTAACCATCTTACAGAACCATAGCAAATTTGTCAAAACAAAGAAACCAAATTTGTATATTACTATCAACTAAATTTCAGACATTTCTCCGTTATCTCTTCCAATCTGTCATGGTGTTTAGGTCTTGCCTTGTTTTTTATGATCTTCAAAATTTTTCAAATAGTTAAGAATTTAACAATGTTGTCTTTATACATATATTACAAAAGAATAGAAGTTGGAATCGTGGGCTACTCTTCCATTCTGTCAGATATGCAGTGGCTAAGGGAGAATAATTGGGAGAGTTTAAGCTAGTATCTTTTGTGCAGCTGTGGGTGTCAATAGAACAAGAAAATCTTTTTTAAAAAGGTAGAAACAGTGGGCAGTACTGTACATATGAGTCCAATTCTCTTAACAAAACAAAACACCAAAAATGTTGCCAAAAAAGAAAAAGCATGCAACGTGAAACAAGCACACAAAATGTTTTAAAAATAATCTAAAAATCTTAAGAGGAAAAATCAAATAATGAGGTAAACCAAATACATATATGTATCTCAGATTGTAAATGGTTTACTACTAGAATATTTTTCAGTATCATTTTTGTAATTCGACATTTAGCTATGCCTTTTCTGTACTTTCTTTGATTTCACATCATTTTGAGGTTTTTGGTAAATTCTATATGCCTTCCACATATGAGATATATTATTTAAAATGATAGTCATAAGATTCAGCAGATGTTAAGAAATAGGCTTGTTTACAGAAGGTATTTGAAGATTATGTAGTAATTAAGCTTTTAATTTTTTCTTTCCAGATTTAAAAAACATTCTTCCTTTCTTTCTGAAGTTAATTCTTCTAGGTATCAATTATTGAAATTTGTCTCCTAAAATACTTCAAACTATCATGCATAATTGCTTTTCTAAAAATGTTTAATTATTATGGGCAAATAATAGGTGCTTATATTCATGGGACATATGTGATACTTTGATACAGGCATATAATGTACAATCACATCAGCAAAATTGGGGTATCTATCACCCCAAGCATTTATCATTTCTTTGTGTTAGAAACATTCACATTTAACTCATTTAGTTATTTTAAAATATACAATAAGTTATTATTGACTATAGTCACTGTATTGTGCTGCTAAATACTAGATATCATTCATTCTGACTATATTTTTACACCCATTAACTCTACTTCTTCCTCTCTTCCCAGCTACCCTCCCCAGCTTCTAGTGACCGAATTTCTATTCTCTTAAGCTCCCACAATGCTTTCTCTCTAGAATTTTTCACTACCTAAATGTCAACTGCTTATATACAATAAAAAGTGTGTTTTGTTTTTATCTGTTTCCTCCATACTGTTTTCATTCTTTCAATCATTTGCCAAAATTTAAATGCAATTTACTATCCTTTTATCTATTTAGAATATTGATGGAGTTACATGGTACAGTTGAAGATAACATTTACCAGACAATCAAGGAGATGATTTTATATGGACTATTGCAATAGGGACAGGAGAACATTTTTGAACATCAAAGTATCTCAACAGAATGGTTTTGCCTTGACACTCTTACAGGGAGGAGTAAACAAGTTGCCGAAGAGGTGCTTGTTTGTTTTGTACATGAGTCCAACTCTCTAACCCAAAAAAGAACACCAAAGAAGTTGCTAAAAAGAAAAAGGAAATAATGAGGTAAACAAAATACCTATGTGTATTTCATACTGTAAATTGTTTAATATTAGAATAATTTTCAGTGCTGTTTTGTAAGCAGGGAACATTTGTCAGTTATTTTAACAGGAAAATGTTTATTTCTGTGCCTAGCTAGTTTCAGGGGTATAAAGAGCTTTAATCCTAGCTAATTACTCATGAAACAAAGAAGAGTAAAGTTAGTTAGGTGCTGATATGGTTTAGCTCTGTGTCCCCACCCAAATCTCATGTTGAATTGTAATCCCCAGTGTTGGAGGTGGGGCCTGGTGAGAGGTGATTGGATCATGGTAGTGATTTCTAATGGTTTAGCACCATCCAGCTAGTGCTGTCTCGTGATAGAGTTCTCACGAGATCGAGCCATTTAAATGTGTGTGGCACCTTTCCCCTTGCTCTCTCTCTCCTGTTGGCCATGTGAAGACTCTGGCTGCTTCCCCTTCACCTTCTGCCATAATTGTAAGTTTCCTGAGGCCTCCCTAGAAGCAGACGCCTGTATAGCCTGCAGAACTGTGAGGCAATTAAGCCTCTTTTATATATATGTGTGTGTGTGTGTGTGTGTATACACATATATATATAATTACACAGTCTCAGGTCTGTCTTTATACTGGTGTGAAAACAAAACAAAATGGATCTGTATCTGTCATTTATCAAAAAGTTTAAGAAACAGGGAAAGATTTGTTTTTGGCCTTGTCATTAACCATTATGAAAAATTCATTCTGCACCATTCTCTCCATTAAATGTTTTATCATTATTCTTGCTGTGCAATACCATATAAAAGATTGACTGGATTACACATATTCATATTTTAAATTTATGTCTGCAATGTTAAGGCAGGCTATATTCTCACATTTCTTCATAAATGTAGCCATTGTATGAAGTTAATGGTATTTTAGGATATGCAGAATACAGAACATCAATATTGTTCAAATATAACAATAACTTCAGTTTTCTGGGGATTTAGTAGCGGTAAAGTGTCATTTCATATGTTCAGTATATTTGCTATGTACAGCATTACCATTGTGATGTATCTTATAGGTTTTTTATTGTCAGATACTTCTCTCAAATGTTTTGTCTACCTAAACTTTCAAATCAGCCTATAATTCTTCTATTTGTCTAGAGTTTACTGCTAGCAGCATATAATGTTTGTATCAGATTTTTTCCCCCAATAATTTGTGGAAGTAGTCATATTTTATAAGTATGCTTGTATGTAAAGGATTGTATTTAAAGTATTAAGAGTAGATATATTATTTTAAATAACCTATAGCATGAATTCAAATACCATTACACAGTTTTGCATTTTAATAACTGTTTTGTTGACCATGCTTAGTGTATCTTTTCTTAATTCTGAGTAATGGGAAGATATACCCAAGTGTAATGTACCTCTTATTCTAGATATGTGGTGAAGAAAAATTCTTCCTTCCAATAATTCTTTCTTGGTAATAGAGAATATATTAGAACAAATACGGAAATGATGGGAGCTCTCTTTTCTAGGACTTTACAAATGCTAGATCCTGTTTTGTTTACAAAAGCATCTTTACAAATGCTAGATCCTGAGACTTTAAATACAAAGAAAAAAGTTAACCTTAGGTATGTTTTATGGATGTAAACAATTTATTCATAATTTATTTCAAATTTATTCATAATTTGAATAACAAAGAATGATCTCCCTCATATATATTTCTTTAGTATTACATTAATATTTACTAAATTTGCAAAACATGTTCCATTTTTGGGCATTTTATAAATTTAGAAGCGATATCAACCAAAATATTAAAAGATAGTAGCTAAGAATCAGTTTTGTGGGGAAGACCATGTATGATTAGACAATATTTTATTATCTTAATCCAATAATATAGTGAATAATGATAAATATGAGAAGAGATATCTGACATTTATAAATATAAAGGGCACTTATGTAAATTTATAGGAAAATAGAATTTTTGTAAGGAGAATAATTTGATAATTTTTGTTGTCTTTTTTGAGACGGAGTCTCGCTCCGTCGCCCCGGCTGGAGTGCAGTGGCGCGATCCCTGCTCGTGTTGCAAGCTCCACCTCCCGGGTTCACGCCATTCTCCTGCCTCAGCCTCCCGAGTAGCTGGGACTACAGGTGCCCGCCACCACGCCCGGCTAATTTTTTGTATTTTTTAGTAGAGACGGGGTTTCAGCGTGTTAGCCGGGATGGTCTTCATCTCCTGACCTCGTGTTCTGCCCGCCTTGGCCTCCCAAAGTGCTGGGATTACAGGCGTGAGCCACCGCGCCCAGCTGATAAATTTTTATGTGACAGAGTTAGTGATTTTTAGAAAAAGGAAGTTCACGTCAAATATATATTTGTAAGTATAATACAAAAAAAATCTATACATGCATTCAGAATATCCTCTTCCTCTCTCTTTTCTGAATGGTTCTGGTTCTTTTGTCCAGAGGATATAAAAAAGAAGTAATAAAAAAGCAAAATAAGGACAGAAAAGCAAATTTTGTTTACATTTAAAAAGAAAGTCCTATTTTTTTTTCAAAAAGAGGATATCTGCAAGGCAAAAGGAAGGAATTGAAGACAGAGTGGAATTTCAGGTAGATAACGACTTAGAGTAGCCCCTAGGATGAGAGGGGTTTTAAGGGAAAAGCTGCTCAAAGTTGAATTTTAGAATATGGTGCTGTGTATAAGGATGAAATTCCACTGCTTTCCAGGCTTCCTGCTCAAAAAACTTGCATAAAATTTACATTATTTTTGAAGCCTTTTGCAGTTGAATGAATGCTCTTTGAATGTGACACACTGTTAAAATGAATCTTAAAGAGAGAACAAGACAAGCAGAATAATTTACGTTATACAAATAAAACCATTTTGAAGAGTTATATCTCCCATGACCACAAAGGCATGTTGCAGAGTCTCCCCTGCAACAGCATGCTCACCCTGTAGTGGAATTCACGTTTATGATGAGTATGAAGGCAGCTAAAATCACTTTGAAACCTGTGGAAAAGAATGGGGATTAAATTATGTTCCGCTGCATCACTTTATCCAAAAGTCAAAACTGATACTGAATGAATTAAAATTAAAAAGTGAAAGAAATTGAAGAAAGATGCTCCACTTCCTGATTAAAGCCAAGCTCAAATACCTGTATTCCACTAGAGAGATTATAGTATTAGGATTGCCCCTGCAGGAATCTGTAACAGTCACTAAGGGATGTCCACAAGCCTAAAGAAAAAGTTATAGAAAATGCAGTATTAAATTAGACACAATGGATGAAGTTCTGCACTCAATTTTTATATTCCAAATGGTCATTTAATTTTGATGAAAAATATTTTACAGTAGTGAAGAAGAGCCAAGCAGAACAACACTTCAGCTGCAGCACAACTTTCTCACTTGTGCTGCAAATCTTTTCATCATATAATGAGTAAGAGAGGATACATGACTCTAATTCAGCATTCTCTACCACTGAAGAATTTAAGGATAAATCTTATTCCTGTAAATGGGAAACATATAGCTAATAAAATACAAATAAAGAAGTAAAGCCAAAATTCTCAATGAATGTGAAGGAACTTAACAGTTGGTTAACTACAGTTTTATCAACTCTGACAGTATTAAAATTTAAATGTCAGCCAGCATGAAAAAATGTCTCCATTCTTCAGAGTACTTTAGGAATAATTTATAATAATAGTTCTTTAAATAAAAAAGAAGGCTTACATGAGTTCCATCTGATTCATTAGGAAATAACAGAATGCAGGAGGAAAAAAACAGTCAAGCAATTTTATGAAACTTAAAAGAAACCCAGATATAGACCTAGAGTTTAAGGATTTTGCTCACAATAAAGATAGCATTTCAGATTAATTTACAAAAGAAAGATTTTGTTTTATTTTTAAAATGTGATGTTAATTTTAAAAAATGCTTAATTACCTGGGGAAAAATCAAACTGCATTCTAAACTCATTCAAATGGATGAATAAACCATCCAAACAAAATAATCTTAGAATTGTGCTGTCCAATATGGTAGTCACTAGCCTCATGTGGCTATTGAGAACTTGAAATATAGCTAGTGAAAATGAGCTATTTTAATTTGATTTACCTTATATTTAAATGTAAAACTTATATTCAATTCAGTTATTGGAAAACATTTAGGTGTGACTGGAAAAACTAGATATGTGAATCTACATTTTAAACTTAAAATTTAAATTGAGATCTAGCATTGCCAATAAAAAGTTAACTGTAACTTGAGCTATATTGTAATAGGAAAACGCAAACATAAAAATAATCTAAGATATTTCATTAATATTTTTATATTGATTATATGTTTAAATGATAGTATTTTTGATGTATGGAATTAAATAAAATACATTATTAAAATTAATTTTATCTGTTTCTTCTTACTTTTTTTAATGTGGTTATCAGAAAATTTAAAAATATATGAGTGACTCACAAACTGTTTTTATTGAACAACACTGTTCTAGGTTAAAAAAAAAGTCTTCTTGTATTTAAGATCTTGAGTGGGGAATGCTATGAATCAGGACAAGAAGTCCAAAAGCCACAAAGTAGAATCAGCACTTCTTTCCTGCAAAACATTGACAGCAAAGAAAGGAAGAAGAGAAGTAGTAAAAAGAAAAGTAGATAAAAAGGACACAATTTTTTTGCTTGAAAGATAAAATGAGAGGAAGAAGAGAGAACACAGAAAGAGGAAGAAAGTTAGGGAGTATATTCATTCAAATCTGACTCCCTTCAGGGCCATAACTGATAATTTAGATACAAATTCAAATTGCACTTACTTTACAAGCAATACATCTCACATATAGTAATTTGCTATAGGGTTATACTTACAAAAATATGCTTTCATACACAAGGGTATGGTTTCCCATATTGCATTAATAGCAAAATAATTGTAACAATATAAAGTTAAATAAGCCGACATTATGTTTAAAAATTCTGGTGAATATCTGTGTATGTATACATGTGTATAATACAGTTATTTATAATGAAGCGTTAGATCATTATGTGATGATATGAAAATATATCCATCATGATGTATTATAAAGAACCAACAGATGGAAAACATTGTAGTGAATTTTATGCTGAAAATAACTAGCATAAAATTATATTTTTATATCAAAAATATATGAACTGACATGTTTATTTTTGTGGGATGCACAATTTTTTAGAGTAGGTATATTAAACAAGTGGGAGAAAAAATTGTGGAAGGGAATATGAAATTTTCCTTTTTATTTTACATATTTAATATATTTGAATTGTAAACATTTATTTATGTTTTTAAAATAATGTGATTATCTGGAGAGAGGACTTTTATCATTTCATAATTTTACATCTAAAAATTTTTAATAATAAAATTTTTATGAAATCTGTGATTTTGGTAAAAATTAAAAATGATGTTAGTTTATTAACAACCTTGTGATTTGTCTTAATCTTCTTGAAAAACACATAAAACTATTATTTCCTTGTATTATACAAAACAGGATCATCGTATACGGCCTTTGAGCTCTAGTTATAATTTCTTACCTATAGCAAAATCTATGTTATCTGCTTCATGAGAGACTACTTGTACAGAGTTTAAAAGACAAAATAGTCTGGGTGTGGTGGCTCACGCCTGTAATCCCAACACTTTGGTGAGCCAAGGCAGAAAAATACTTTGAGCTCAGGAGTTCACGACCAGCCTGCGCAACATATGTAGAGACAGTGTCTCTACAAAAAAAAAAAAAAAAAAAAAAAAAGGACAAAAATATTTACCATTCTCATCCTCTTCAAATCTGGTGACATTTTAAAAATATATTCACCCGATAAAGTAGAAGTTTTATTTTACATTGCAAAAATTATTTTACTGTACATAACAAAATAGATTTGTAGTACAAACCAGCTTTTTCTATACGTCTCATATGGTTGTGGGATTGCCTCCATTTAACTAAATGCATATTATAAAGTAAATGGAATTTCAAAACATTTCTTAAGTCCCCAATTTTTCCAAAAAGATTTATAAGTAACTGAGAAACCATACAAAGTTATTTGCAAATGCTATGACATCCTCAGTTTATTCAGTAGTGTAGATATCATCAAATATTTACTGAATTTTTAATTTAAATAATACTAATGGCATTATTGCAACTTGATGGATACAAATTTGTCTAAATGTAGCTATTTTCATAATTGGGCATAAAAATTAAAAAAATATAAAAATACCAAAATAGATATGGGAATCTTTCTAGAATGAGCTCTAAATATCAGACTAATTATAAATAGGGAAGAGAGTTAAAATGGAAATCTGTTATAGACCGGGCTGAAAGCTATAATGAAGTTATTAAATCATCAAAAGCAAGTGGACTGAAGGGAGTAATGCAGTGGGTAATAATGTAATTTAATTAATATTAAAGAAAAATAAACACTGGAACTTACCAAAAGAGCAGGACTGTAGATTCTGTAACATATCTTCAAATAGGTTTGCAGCAATATTGGAAGGGAAATTAAATTTATCTTCCAATATGATAGCAATATCAGTGCAGCAAAGAAACAGAGACGAACCATCCAAATTTAATAACATTAATAGCATTATAACTGAGACAATGATACTGAATCGTGCTAGTTACTGCCTTTATTATATTGCTTAGGCACAGATATCAGAGAATTCAGGGAGGTTTGGTTCTTATCTAGATTCCAAAGAAAATGTTTAGAGTCTTAAAAGGCTTATTTCCTCAGTTTAATCACACTTAATTTGATACTTCTCTTTCTCCATTATGCTTATTAACAGCTGAATTCACCCAGATGATATCGGCTTATAAATCCATTCACTAAAATTTGCCGTTCTCTTTAGTCACTCCAATTACAACAGTGTAGTCCATTGTGCAGCTAAATTGGTGTATGAAAAGAAAGAACTGCTACTTTCACATACATTTTCTATCCTTCTACCTTAGAACCCACATCAAAGCTTTATATGTTTTGTGCTGCTGCTACCCCTCAGGGCAGAGCAATAACCTCCTCAAAATTTCATCTCTGCTATGTTAGTGATATAAATGTCAATTGACTTTAGCTGAAGCAGACTTTGGAAATCAATAGCAAGGATTACTGTCAGAAGTAAGTATATCTTGCTAGTTCTTGCAAGTAAGTGGTCAATTGTAGACGACACTGAGTGAATTGAATACATCGTTGTCAAAATGTTGTCAGTGAAATTTTATAATTTCCTATTGACTACTTTCCGGTTGGTGTTACCGATATTAAATTATATAACCTACAGTCTGTTTCCAGCTCCTATTATGTCTGATTATCTATCCTCAGCACAGACCTCAATTTTCCCAGCTTGAATGTTTCCATTTACTCACAACCATGTTAAGAGGAAAAAAAAAAAAAACAAACATGTAAGCAGCATGATTTAGGGCCATACCATCAAAGGATTAAGGATTTCAGTGCTGTGACTCTGACAATCTCTAAATTTTGTACTGCAGGTTGAACAAAAACTTCTTCGGAAAACATAATTTTCAATATTTCAAAGAAAGTGTGTTTTGGAAAAAAAAATCAAAGTTTGAAGATATTTGAAGCCCACTAAAATTATTTAAAGAAATTTTTATCACAAGATATTGTTTTAATGAAATTACATCTCACATGGTTTTAGAAATTGAGTACTGCAAAAATATTAATGTCCACATATAGCTAAAATCCTGGGCATTAAAGAGTTAATGTTTAATTGCGATAAAAATTTAATTAATTATAATACTAACAAATAGTTTATTTAATTGTACAAATAAAGGTTTTTGTTGTTTTTCTTTCCTTTTTTTTTTCTATTTCCTTCTCCATCACTGAAGTAGCAAATATCCAGAAATCTCAGTGAAGATTGAATCACCATTTCGCAGATCTAAACTCTCAGAGGAAAGTACAGTTATTAGGAGGAGAAAAATATGTAATCAATGCTACCATATCCTAGATAAATAAGTAAAGACCTCTAAATAGTCAAGAGAGGACACTTTGCCAATCATACGCAGGATGGGAGGTGATGACATGGGAAACATGTCGTTCCAGAATTCCCAACAATTTCCCCTTTTTAGCTTTTTCACCATATGAACTGAAGAGCAAAATTTGACCTCATAGACAGTTGATTGAACAATTGTTCAGCTTTAATAACTAAGATGGTACAGAAAACATGTATTCAATTTACAATCCTCCAGGAGCTACAATCCAATATCAGTCTGGATTTAGTAAGGAAAGTAGAAACTGATTGCAACTGAATAGGGTTATTTACATTATTCTGCTACTGGCTGAGGAGTGGAATTAATGGCAAAAATCCTCAATAAAATACTGGCAAAACGAATCCAGCAGCACATCAAAAAGCTTATCCACCATGATCAAGTGGGCTTCATCCCTGGGATGCAAGGCTGGTTCAATATACGCAAATCAATAAATGTAATCCAGCATATAAACAGAGCCAAAGACAAAAACCACATGATTATCTCAATAGATGCAGAAAAAGCCTTTGACAAAATTCAACAACCCTTCATGCTAAAAACTCTCAATAAATTAGGTATTGATGGGACGTATTTCAAAATAATAAGAGCTATCTATGACAAACCCACAGCCAATATCATACTGAATGGGCAAAAACTGGAAGCATTCCCTTTGAAAACTGGCACAAGACAGGGATGCCCTCTCTCACCACTCCTATTCAACATAGTGTTGGAAGTTCTGGCCAGGGCAATTAGGCAGGAGAAGGAAATAAAGGGTTTTCAATTGGGAAAAGAGGAAGTCAAATTGTCCCTGTTTGCAGATGACATGATTGTATATCTAGAAAACCCCATTGTCTCAGCCCAAAATCTCCTTAAGCTGGTAAGCAACTTCAGCAAAGTCTCAGGATACAAAATCAATGTACAAAAATCACAAGCATTCTTATACACCAACAACAGACAAACACAGAGCCAAATCATGAGTGAACTCCCATTCACAATTGCTTCAAAGAGAATAAAATACCTAGGAATCCAACTTACAAGGGATGTGAAGGATCTTTTCAAGGAGAACTACAAACCACTGCTCAATGAAATAAAAGAGGATACAAACAAATGGAAGAACATTCCATGCTCATGGGTAGGAAGAATCAATATCGTGAAAATGGCCATACTGCCCAAGGTAATTTACAGATTCAATGCCATCCCCATCAAGCTACCAATGACTTTCTTCACAGAATTGGAAAAAACTACTTTAAAGTTCATATGGAACCAAAAAAGAGCCCGCATCACGAAGTCAACCCTAAACCAAAAGAACAAAGCTGGAGGCATCACACTACCTGACTTCAAACTATACTACAAGGCTACAGTAACCAAAACAGCATAGTACTGGTACCAAAACAGCATGGTACTGGTACCAAAACAGAGATATAGATCAATGGAACAGAACAGACCCCTCAGAAATAACGCCGCATATCTACAACTATCTGATCTTTGACAAACCTGAGAAAAACAAGCAATGGGGAAAGGATTCCCTATTTAATAAATGGTGCTGGGAAAACTGGCTAGCCATATGTAGAAAGCTGAAACTGGATCCCTTCCTTACACCTTATACAAAAATCAATTCAAGATGGATTAAAGACTTAAACATTAGACCTAAAACCATAAAAACCCTAGAAGAAAACCTAGGCATTACCATTCAGGACATAGGCATGGGCAAGGACTTCATGTCCAAAACACCAAAAGCAATGGCAACAAAAGACAAAATTGACAAATGGGATCTAATTAAACTCAAGAGCTTCTGCACAGCAAAAGAAACTACCAGCAGAGTGAACAGGCAACCTACAAAATGGGAGAAAATTTTCGCAACCTACTCATCTGACAAAGGGCTAATATCCAGAATCTACAATGAACTCAAACAAATTTACAAGAAAAAAACAAACAACCCCATCAAAAAGTGGGCAAAGGACATGAACAGACACTTCTCAAAAGAAGACATTTATGCAGCCAAAAAACACATGAAAAAATGCTCATCATCACTGGCCATCAGAAAAATGCAAATCAAAACCACAATGAGATACCATCTCACACCAGTTAGAATGGCAATCATTCAAAAGTCAGGAAACAACAGGTGCTGGAGAGGATGTGGAGAAATAGGAACACTTTTACACTGTTGGTGGGACTGTAAACTAGTTCAACCATTGTGGAAGTCAGTGTGGCGATTCCTCAGGGATCTAGAACTGGAAATACCATTTGACCCAGCCATCCCATTACTAGGTATATACCCAAAGGACTATAAATCATGCTGCTATAAAGACACATGCACACGTATGTTTATTGCGGCATTATTCACAATAGCAAAGACTTGGAACCAACCCAAATGTCCAACAATGATAGACTGGATTAAGAAAATGTGGCACATATACACCATGGAATACTATGCAGCCATAAAAAATGATGAGTTCATGTCCTTTGTAGGGACATGGATGAAATTGGAAATCATCATTCTCAGTAAACTATCGCAGGAACAGAAAACCAAACACCGCATATTCTCACTCATGGGTGGGAATTGAACAATGAGATCACATGGACACAGGAAGGGGAATATCACACTCTGGGTACTGTGGTGGGGTGGGGGGAGGGGGGAGGGATGGCATTGGGAGATATACCTGATGCTAGATGACGGGTTGGTGGGTGCAGCGCACCAGCATGGCACATGTATATGTATGTAACTAACCTGCACAATGTGCACATGTACCCTAAAACTTAAAGTATAATTAAAAAAAAAAAGAAAAGAAAACTTTCCATTAATTGTTTGGGGAGTTCCCACCGAAGGTCACAGAATTTGAACTGAAGTTTTTCACCTGAAGAGCTGAATTAGAAGTCCTCAGGCATCTGCCTGCAAGCTGTTGTGTTCTTTGAGGACTTCTAAGAAGCTACCATAAATTACCCAGTCTGGAACAGTGAAAACAGTTGTCCTCCAGAACATGCAAGGATGTTGCTGTGTGAACTTTGCCTTTGCCCAGAGAATGATAACTTCACCTTCATTACAGTATTCCAAATACCCTGAATTCCTCACGTAAGGGAGCCTTATCCAAGAACTGTACAATGAGGGGGGCTTTGGAACTCCATCAATTCCCTGGTGGTGTTGATGCCCAACCGGCCTCCAGTGGTCCTTCTCAATGCATGGATTTTTGGACTCAGCAGTAACAAACCACAACTCCCTTTTTATCCATATTTTCAGTTCTGACCAAAGGTAATACCATCATACTTTTCTTACCTAGTTCAGAATGGCCCTTATAAGCTCAAACACATAATCAAGAGAAAATACAAAACCTTGTATGACATTCTATCTATCCCTGAATGAATTTTGTTTCTTTTCTAGTTCAGTCACAATCGTTCTTTTGTATCTTGAAACTTAAAGACTAAATTATATGAGCAATTTTTAGTGATGCTGTTTATATTAGATAATAAAGGAACCATAGGGAGAAAGATTAAAACATTATTTGTTAATAGATACAAAATATATATATGCATATATATAAGCAAGAAGAAAATATGGATAATTACTACAATCCTTGTTTATGCAAATGATCTCATATTCATAGTCGGCATCTGTAACTTTTCTTTTCACTACCCAGTCCTCATTCCCTTCATCCTCAGCCAGTGGGACAGCTAGTCATGGTTCTTTTCCCGGGGGGTAAGAGAATCTTCTGCCTCCACTGAACAGTAGAAAATCAATCATGATAAATTATTCCAGCTAATACAGTAAATCCCTTCTTTTCGCCAAACGCTTCTGTGGCAGAAGGAATACAAAAATGCTTAGCTTCTGATTTAACAGACACAATCTTGCATGCCTTGGTAATAGCATACTTCCCACAGGGACAACAATCTCCAAACCATCAGAGCCTAATGTTGTGGAGATAGAAAACAAAATTTTGCTATTGGGAAATTAACATCCAGTGAACAACTCCTCTCATGTCTACTCCTTGGCCCTTGGGCCCATGAATGTTGGCTGTAAGAGAAAGCGCACTGTAACACTGATCAATGGTTCAGAGCATATAACAAATCTAGGACATTGCCCCGCCACACAAACGGTTTTCCCTGTTGGTACTGTTCTTCAAATATCATTCTGCTGCTCTACAAAATAGTTTTAAGGTAATGAATGACAAGGCTTTATGGTAAATTATGCTACATTATTATTTTTAGGGTATTCTATAAGGCAGGAAAGGGAAATACATATTCACAACAAATATCTAGTCTAAAAGAATACATATCCTGCCATATACAATATGAAGGTATGCAATATAACCAACCTGCTATTAGGTGACGTGTTTGTCTCCAGGGATGTTATTATATTGGGAGTTCATGACTAATCACTGTTACTGCCAAGTAAGCTGCATCAAATCAGATCTTTAATAGAGAAAGTATCTGTGTTAGAGCTCCCTGCTAAGTTCTACTCCTGCTGTCATGGCCACTTAACTCAAGAAGCCATTGAGAAAGAGCAGGCATTTCTGGGAAAAGAGGCTATCAGATATTTACAGAACTGATCATCTTTCCTACCTGGATATTGAGGGAATTAACTGTTGTGGTTTCACCTTTTGCCCATTCTCAGATATCCTTTTACTTTTTTCCTCCCTAGATGTCTTGTAACCAATTTGTGAATTGTTTTCTTTTCTACTCCATAAACATCCAGCCAACATGTGAGTCATGGCTCATGAATCACTGCAGATTTATAGCTCAGATTATTTATTCTTCCTGGTAAAGTGAACAATTAGATATGCTGCTTGAATTTCTGTCTACTGAGATTTTCCTTCACCAGTAGCATTGGAGGTCCTCCTGATAGGGGCTGTAATGTTGCTATTTGCCACCACTAGATCATGCTGAAATATAATAATAATACAAATGCCGGAATCATTTGTAAACCAGTTCAACTATTTTTCTTCAGCTAGCTAGTTATAGGGAATTTCTTGTGAGGTCATACATGTGGGTCGAAGAAGGGGCTATGTATCAGGAATATATCATGAGAAACTGAGCTAGTTACTAATGGAACTTACTTGTGCTTTGTGGAGTCCCTTGAGCTTGATTTTATATATCACACTTCTATTTGATTATAGAATGTTGCTGTGCACATCCAAATTTATGACTTGGTAGATCAGAAAACACTGATTTCAAAATGGAAACCTTAGGTTATATGATAATTTGATGGCTCATGGTGAAGCACTTAGTCATTTTCCAGGGCACAGTATTAAGCCAGAAATATTTCTCAGGAGTGATACACAGAAAATGTGCAAGGCTTAGCTATAAAATCATAAGGATTAATGCTGACTACCAAAGTTCTATACATTATATCTATCTGTCATAGATACTACAAATACCGCTGGATCCACTATATAACAACATTCATGTTGCTCCTACTGTTACTTTTGTACTTATTCTGTAATAATGTAATAATGCTGTAACAAAATTGTCAAATACCAACACATATTTATTATGTTTATGGATATGCAGGCCAAATTTGGCTTAGAGAATCAAGATTCAGTCCAATTTAACAGTTTCGCTTGAGTCTGTAAGATGGGTGGACTTGGCTCCAGCAAATAGGGTTCACTTCTGTTCCCCAAGGCTTCAGAATAGATTCTATTGAGAGGCTCTTCTTCATTCTCCAGGATACTAATTGGCTGTCAGTTATTGTGCTAGGCAAAATAACACCTCACCAAAGATATCTACACCTTTATCCACAGATCTATGAATATGTTACCTAACAGGGCAAAAGGGACTTTGCAAATGTAATTAAGTTTATGGATTTTGAAATGGGGAAATTATACTGAACTAATTCAGTGGGCCCATTCTAATTATTCGAATACTTAAAATGAGAGAACTTCCCCTGGTTGTGTTAAAGTGATGAGAGAGAACAAGGAGGCAATATTCAAAATGTAAGAGAAACTCCTTCTATCATTATTGGCCTAGGTGATGGAGTAATGAGGCCACCAGCAGAAAAAAAAAAATGTATGTTGGTTCTAAAAGACAAGGCTGGCCTTCATCTGACAGCCAGCAGTCTTACAACAACAAAGGTCTCTATTAAGTATAATTTTTTAAGATCAATAAATAAATCTTCCCTTAGATCCTCCAAAAGGAATACAACCCTGCCAACACCTTGATTTTAGCCCAGCAAGAACTCAGATAAGCTTTTGATCTAGTAGGGTAATAAATTTGTGTCATGTTGTATAAACACTAAATTTGTGGTAATTTATTATTACAACAATAGAAAATGAATACAATTACCCCTCATATCTCTCCTTGTCCTTGGATAAAAGCCTAGTCAGCCAATGTTTCTTCTCATGGCATGTACTAGAGCAGAGCATAAGAAGAGCAGAAATACATACAAGCTGTGTATTATTTATCCAAAATACTTGGGACCAGAAATGCTTCAGATTTTGGAGGTTTTTTCTGATTTTGGAATATTTACATTTTATACTTACAGGTTCAGTATCCCTAATATGAAAGTATGACATCCTAAATGTTATAATGAGCATTTTCTTTGAGCATCAATCAGTGCAAAAAAATTTACATTTTGGAGCTTTTGGATTTGAGATTTTTGAATCAGAAATACTTGACCTGTACTGCATTTCAATACTTTGTCCTGGAACTGTCACACTGTCACTTCAACTCAAAGCCTATAGGCCAAAACAAATCAAATGGCAAACTAAGCCCAACACTTATGGATCAGGCAACTATAATACACCTTACTAGAAGGAAACTAGAGGGTCACATATCAAAGAGCAAAGATATATATTTCCTATAGAAAAAGGGTATAAGGAAATGAAAACCCTAATCCAATCTATTAGAAAGCCATTTGGAATGATAAAACAGAATAAATAATTGGAAGACAATGAAAGACATGTACGGGAAACTATGCTAATCACCTCATAAATAAATTATTGTATGAATTTATATAATTAGACACATCCCAGATTACTAGCATGAAATACTTTAGGATAAAAGAGGTTTAAAATAGTAATTGACAAAGCTGTTGAGAGAATGAAAAATATGGATGACAAACAAGGAGTAATATGTTCTTTAATATTTAAAGATCTTCTTGATGGTTTAACACAACACACTGACACTCAGATAGATGAAAGGAAAATCTCTGCTACTTACAGTTGTGAATTAGAGAAGGCTGCCAGACAGGGCCACATTAGGGGCTGCTCCCACGGACAAGGTAGCAGCAAGCTGGAGCCATATGTGGGGGCAGCTTACGTATGACAAGTGGAGGAAAGGAGTTAGCTAGACTTTATGAACTTCTTGTAGATGGGCTGTTTCTAAGTCTGAAGTTAGAAAACAGTATCCAGACCTATGAAAAGATAAAAAATATGTAAAATCAGCCTTGCTGTTTGAAGGTTTCTGTCCCCTCCAAAATTCATGTTGAAACTTAATTCCCAATGCAATGGTATTAAGAGTTGAAGCCATCTGAAAGGTGATTAAGTCATGAGAGGTCCTCCCTCAAAAATGGATCAGGACTTTTATAAAAGAGCTTGAAGACAAAATGTTAGGCCCTTTAGCCCTTATACCTTCTCCCATATGAGAATACAGCAACAAGTTCCTATCTTGAAGCACAGGCCAGGGCCTCACCAGACATCAAACTTGCCCATGCCTTGATTTTGGACATACAGCCTCAGAACCGTGAGAAATACATTTCTATTATTTACATATTAGCCAGTCTGTGGTATTTTGTTATAGAAGCAAAAATGGACAAGACAGTAAGGCTTCAACTAGTAAACTACAAAATTAACAATAAACTAATCAACATTAAAAGGAGGAAACAAAAAATACAAAATTAATAGTTGAAAACATTAAAAATCATGAAACCAATAAAGACAAATATAGTGACCAATCAGATTTCCAAGAGGAGACAAAGAGCGCTATCAGATTTGAATAATTAATGATGGGGTGAGATTAATGCGAAAAAGTGCACCTTGAGAGAATCTATGACCTATGAAGATAATTAGCTTTAAGTGACTGTACATGGAAAATTTGGTAGAATAATCAACCTAATTCTCATTATCCTGCAGATCCAGGTCCAGGGATTCTGTTACCTAAATGCAACTCAAAGAAGGGGAAAGAGTGCTCATCGATTTAGCCCATCTTTCTCTCTACACCCTATTCTTTTCGGTGTAGAGAGAAAAATGGAGATATTGGAAAGTGAATGTCCTCGAGCAATGGAAAATGCCTTTGGAAAGGGCACTACAGTGGACATCAGATGTTGTAATTGTTTCCTTCTCTCTCTTTCCTTATGGGAACACATACCATACAGTTTAGATGAAGCCAATTCATAACCTGAAGGGTGAGGTAGGCATGTGACACAAATCAAAGCAACTAGACAACCTCATAAGTTTGGCCACTTGTTTGTTTCAGAGGTTTATGTAACTTAAGCTGAGAAAATAAAAATCTGACTGGAGATGTTATGCCTGAGCTATCAGGAAAGATATTTTCCTGAGAAGGAGATTAGACTGAGAAGATTTGCATCAGTGAAGTTGATAGTCATATATTTCAACAAGTAGTGAGATTATCCTTGAAAAATCAAGCTAAGCAAAGACTAGAGAAGGCAAGAAAGAAGTAGGGAGGGAGACAAAAGCTAGAGACTAATTTAAGTCCATGGGTCTATTCATAGCTGAAGCTAGCAGAAACCACCAAATTCCCAGTTCCCAGCTGTGTGAGGCGATATATTCAATTTTTTTTTGGTTAAGCTAGTTTGATCTGGGTTTTGGTCACAGAATTTGACATATAAAAATATAATATTTCAAGTGAAGTACTTGAAATGTAAAATTGTCTCTGTTGAGGCTGTAAGTAGAGCAATGAGAATTATTTCATCATCAATTGGGATGTCCACAGTCCTTACAGCAAACCAATTTATTGAATTTTTCCTTCTTATATCTTTTTGAAACCAGACAGTACATTATTAAGGCTGTAGAATATACAACTTTATTTTACAAATATGTATCAGCTATGTCTTACGTTTTTCAGGAAATTCTATGAAAATGAAACAATTTCTGTCCAAACTAGCCCACTTGTAATGTGAAAAAAAAATCCAGCTTCTTATACAGACGGTCTTTCAATCTGTGGTCAATGATTCAAGGTAGAAAATAATCAGGTAATCATATATTTTCTATTACATTTTAGAAAAGTTAATTTTCTGTTACCAAATCACTTTTCTTTCTCCCCTTCAATACCATCCAGAAAACAAGCTTTCTTTATTTTTCTTTCAACTCATGAGTAAGGTTTATTTGGTAGAGTTAATTTCTGATATTTGAGTATTTTCTTTTGAGCTTATGTTTGCATTTCCTAAAAATTTCAATATAATTTTTTTATATATTCAGAAGCAAAAAGGAGTCTACACAACCACAATTGTCACATAGCCAAAGAGGATTGTTGTATCTTGTTGAATCTTAAGTTTTTTGCTGTATTTCTACCTGTTAATTGCATCAAATGCTTTTGGAGTTAGGGATTAGAGAAATAAATAGAAATAAGTATATCACAGCATCTTCTGCACACTAATTATAAGACACAACCGTGTCAGGCTTACAAAGTTACTTTAATATTATTAATGCAGGTCAAAATAATGGGAAAAATTCTACTTTTATAAATAAGTTTGTTCTTTCCTTCTACAATTTCAGATATAGGGGAAGAGGAACAATTTTTTTTAATCTGGATAAACACTATAATTTTTATTTTATTTCTATTTGTTCAGTTACTTATTTTGAGACAAGGTCTCACTCTGTTGTCCAGGCAGGAGTACAGTGGTGTGATCACAGCACACTGAAGCCCCCATCTCCCAGACTCAAGTGATCCTCCCTCCTTAGCCTCCTGAGTATCTGGGACTGTAGGTGTGCATCACCATGCCCAGATAATTTTTAAAAAAGAGATGAGGTCTTGCTATGTTGCCCCAGGCTGGTCTCAAACTCCTGAGCTCAAGCAATCCTCCAACCTCAGGCTCCCATAGTGTTGGGATTACAGACGTGAGCCATTGCAGCTGGTCTAAAACACCGTAATTTTTAAAAAGCAACACAAAATAAGAGAATGCCTCCATCTGAATATCAGATAGAGTTGTCGTATCAGCTGAGTCACAGTAACATCTAATAGATTTTGGATGGTGCATTCCGAAACTCAAGTTCATCCCTAATGTGGAGACAGTGCTGGTTATCTCAGCCAATAATTTAAATAATTACAGCTTCAGTTATTAGATAAATCCTATTGTAGAAGTGAATGAATCAGGCTGTCTTTGAACCGATGCCATCATACATTCATTTTATTCAATATTTTTCAATAACCTTCTGATTATGATTTGGCACTTCAGGTCAGTCTGCCTGGTTGTATAGCCTGGTTCATGTACTGTGGCAAAGTATGGTTGCTGTTCTGTTTTCATATAGTAATCTTTAGATTTGTTTATATAACTATCGCCCTAATAAATGGTTCATTCTTGTTTTGATGAATTTGGGTTTGTGTTTATTCTACAAGATGACTATAACTTGAATTGTGGTACTATAATAAAATCACCAGGGCAAATGTGCCTTGGATGACAGCCATTCATCACTTCCCAACTCCTGTATAAAACTAATGTGCACCTCCCTTTTTCCCTCCATCAACTAACTTCTCTCCACATTTCAGAGAAGATATGTCTTGATAACTCTACCTTCTTGGAAGAACTATTATAAGGAAAAGATTAGTTTCCATCAAGGTGATTCACATAAAATATGTTTCCAGCCTCTTCTACTTGAATGCTACTTGGAAACAAATTTACTAGAACTGCTGCAAAAATTTCTCCCATTTCAGATAGACTTACAGTTGGATGTAGCATATAAGCTGCATCTACAGTTTCTATCGTCAATATTTGCCAGCATTGCTCCTAGCACAATTAGTAGAGGCTTTGAAAAAAGGACAAGGTTTTGGCTATGTAAGCTACAACTTACTTGTGCAATTTCAATTTATTTACAAACAGAATCTGACAGTGTGTCTGATTATGCTAGGCAAGATTTCAAAAGTCATAGCCAAATTATGTGACAGCAAATTGTATTGCCAGAAGAACTGATATATGTAATCTATATCCTAATGTATCTTTAACATTTGCCATCTATAAAATTATTTTTCTATCTATAAAGTTAAATTCCTATTCTTGAGAAGTACAAGGAGTGTGGTCCTAGTAAATATTTAATAACCAGTTAAAAAAAGAAAGAACCAAAAGAAAAAAACCGGATTCGTTCCATTTAATAATAACTGTTGGTGGGTAAATATTTCTACTCTGGCTGCATTCAACTTACCAACATGTCATAAATGAATGTGGAGTTAAAAAGAGATGTTGCACAGTTCTGCTCTCATGAAGCAGAAACTTCACCATATCAGTGAATAAGATAAGTTTAATATAGAACTGAATATATTTTTAGCATCAAAAAGAAAAAAATCCAAGGTTAACATGCCATAGAGAGGTAATAAACACTAAAAAGCTAGAATTTTTGACTTTTTTAATTTATTTTTAAATAAAATAATTTGAATTGAAACTAATAATTTAGAAAATCTTGCCCTGACTCATTCATTTTTACTCCTGAAGAAATGAAATGCCAAGGTTTACAGGAATTTGTCCCAATTGCAATGCACATTAATTGGCAAAATGAATTGTGACTAATTTTCCATACGACCACAGCAAAAAAAAAAAAAAAAAGAGTTATAATAGATGAAGATCCTACAGATAAAGTGTTAAAGTGATTTTTAAAAATTCGTTATTCTGAATTTCCAAATTCAGTGATATCTCTTTTTAGGACTAATGATGGCTCTTGTTGACAAAATTTGAAAAAAATTATTGAAAATAAAAATAAGTTCAAAATTTCTGGTTCTATGTAATGTAGGTGTAAATACACCCTGCCCTGTATCTCCCAGTGAATGCAGCCATAAAATCTGGACAGAATGCACGGAGCATGTATTTGAAGGCCTTGAAAAGTTAATAGTAGGAAGTGAATTGAGGAATGAAAACAGAATTCAAAGTATCACCAAAGCAGAGGTGACTTTGTCATTTTTTCCCTTACCTGGACTCAATGCAGCTTGAGATGTGGGAGTGAGCATGGCTTGCCTGTCAGCTTGAGGAAAAGTCTTTTGGTTCTGGCTTGAGGAGAGGAACAATGGTCTTCTGAGATTTAGAGAGAGTTGAATAAATTATCAATTGTTAAGATTTTCTCTTTTCTTCTATACCTCAGCACCCGAACAAGTCCATCCTATACTAGGAGCAGCAGCAGAGAGAATGGGTGGCTGCAGTATCTAAGACTCAGAGGGAGCGAAATGTTCTCTCCAGACGATGGTGGCCTCAAGAGGATGGGAAAATCTCTGCTGTTATTGTTCCTTTTCTTTCCCTCTCTTTGTTCTCTTGCCTCTTAGCCTCATACATAGGCACAGATGTGGGAAGTTTATGACAGATCTAGGTAAATGAAGGCCCAGCTCTCTGGCCAAAGGATGAAAAAAAAGAAATCGCAGAGAACCACAGTGTACAACGGGCATCAGAGAGAGAGTCAAACCTGGGAAATTAAGCCCAGAAAGTTGTTTATGAACTCCTGAGCTCAACCCTGAAGTTTGCAAATGTGAATCTGATTCAAATGGCATGCACAAACACTGGAAACCAAACTATGACATAAACCACTGCCAAAGCCCAGACTACACGGTGGGTAGGCCATAGATAAACCAGCTTTGAATAGCCAAGCAAAAATTTTAAAACAATCCTCATATTGAAGCTATGACCTACAGAACATAGTTTCAATCAACTAGGTTGATTTTATGTCAAAACAACAAAAATACCAGCATGTACCACAGAATTTTTTAAAGTCACCAAAATCTCACAACATACTATCGGAAATGAACAACAGACAATTAATGGCATAAAAAGAAACAGAAAAATATCAATTTACATGGGAAAAGACAATCAACAAGACATCAAATTTGAAACAACAGATGTTACATTTATCTGAGAGGCTTAAAGAAACACCTTGTAAAAATATTCCAACAAACAAAAACAAACACCCTTGAAACAAATGAAAAGAGAAATTCTCAGCAAAGTAATAAATGATATAAGGAATGGAAACATTTTTAAAAATCAAATGAGAATTTATAGGTGAAAAACTTAATAAGACAATCTAAACCCAGAAAAACAAGAATCTCCTACATTTGGGATTTAATAACTTGAGGGAGATAGCAAAGGAGTCAGTGAGATAGATCTGTACATTCAGCCACTTGAGAAAGCAGTTTGGAGATTTCTCAACGAACTTAAAACAAAACTGTCAATTGACCCAGCAATCCCATTACTGGGCATGTATCCAAAAGAAAATCAATCATGCTACCAAAAAGACACATCCATTTGTATGTTCATTGCAACATTATTTACAGTAGCAAAGAAAAAGAATCAACCTACATATACATTAATAGTGGATTGGATAAAGAAAATATGGTACATATGTACCATGGAATACTATGCAGCCATACATAAGGAACAAAATCATATCCTTTAAAGCAACATGGATATAGCTGGGAGGCTATTATCCTAAACAAATTAACATTAGGAACAAAAAATCGAATACTACATTTCTCACATATAAGTGGGAGCTAAGCATTTAGTACACATAGCCATAAAGAAAGAAACAATAGACATTGGGGAAAATCAGAGGGTGAAGAGAGGAATGGGAGGGTCTTAAAAAACTACCTATTGGGGGCCGAGCACGGTGGCTCACGCCTGTAATCCCAGCACTTTGGAAGGCCGAGGCGGGCGGATCACGAGGTCAGGAGATCAAGACCATCCTGGCCAAAGTGGTGAAACCCCATCTCTACTAAAAATACAAAAAAATTAGCCGGGCATGGTGGTGGGCGCCTGTAGTCCCAGCTGCTGGGGAGGCTGAGGCAGGAGAGTGGCGTGAACCCGGGAGGCGGAGGTTGCAGTGAGTTGAGATCATGCCACTGCACTCCAGCCTGGGCGACAGAGCGAGACTCCGTCTCAAAACAAAAACAAAAACAAAAACAAACAAACTACCTATTGGGTGCTATGTTCACCACCTGGGTGAAGGGATCATTTGTACCCCTAAGCTCAACATCATACAATATACCCATGAAACAAACTTTAACATGTAACCCCATGCTCAACATCATACAATGAACCCAAGAAACAAACTTTTACATGAACATAAAAGTTGAAATAAGAAAGAGAAAATGTCCAATCTGACCAACAAAGATGGATAAAAAAGAACAGAACATCGGCTTCCTTTGAGAGACCACTTTTCTAAATTGAGAAAGATTTACATAGAAAAATACAAAAAAAAAGTTTTTTAAAAGTCTGGAAAATTTGGCAGAACACATAAACATATAGATTCCAGAAGCTCACTGAACTCCAAACAGTAGATACGCAGAGAATTGATACTGAGATACATCATAATCAAACTGCTAAAAAAAAAATCTTTGGTTACAAAGAAAAAAGCATCCTGAAAGCAGCCTGTGTAAAATTATACACTACTTACAGGTTAACAACAATTCAAATGACAGTATATTTCTTCTCAAATACCACAAAGGCCAGAAGAAACTAATAGAAAATGTTTAAAGAGCTGAAATAAATCAACTATCATCCCAGAAATCTATATCCTGTAAAAATATTCTTTAGCAATGAAGGTGAAGTAAATGCATTCTCAGATCAAAGAAAACTGAAATAATTCATTGCAGAAAAACCTGTTATTTTTTTGAAAAATTGCTAAACAGAGTTTTTTAGATGGAAATAAAATGGTAGCAAATAAGAAAAAGTAGCATTTAGGACAAAGGAAATTACCAAGGGTAAGAAGGAATTATTTGCTGAATAATAACGTGGTTTACCACATATGTCAATATAGATTTTTCAACATTTTTTTTCTTGCTACATAGTGTGCCCCTTTTATTCTGCAGATTGAAAATAATTTCTTCAATTCATAAAAATACTTTCTCATTTTTATATCTATCATTTCATATGTAATTTCCTAAATCTCAAACACTCCCTATCTTTTGGGTTTTAATCTAAAAATATTCCCTCTTTCATTATTTTTAAATACATAATAATGATTTTTCCTTATCAATTTGTTGATACTGCTTTGAAGTCATTCTTTTTAACTTATTCATTTTGTTATGTTTTAAGCACTTATTGTGTGCCAGATACCCTTTTGGATACAGTGAAAAAATTATTAAATTCATGATGTCATGTGAATTTCAGTTGGAAGTTAGAAAAATAAGCAAAATAATTTTATTGAGCATTGAAGGCTTTAATGAAAATTGACGTTAGTGATAAAACTCTAATTTATCATTATTTTAGTTTATGATTTTTAAATATTTTTTATCATTTGTATTTCATGCATTAAATTTTGTCTTTCTTTTTACATTTCATTTTTGCTTTTGATATGTGATTTTCTTGTAACAGCTTTATTGAGTTGTAGTTGACATAGAGTGAGCTGCACATATTTAAACCATATACTTTGACAATTTTTATATTTGAATATACCCATAACCATCACCACAATCAAGATATGAATATTTCCAATACCCTGAAGATTTCGCCCCTTGGGAATCCCTCAGTATCCAATCACAAATCATTTTTTTCAGTTACTATGATTAGCTGACACTTTCTTGATATATATTAATGAAATTATACTGTATATGCTACTTTTTTTCTTTTTATTCCAAGATAGTCAACTTAGTCTACAAATTAAGCATCCTCTATCCTTATCAAATTTAATATTTTAATATTCACAATCATGTTATACCAGTTCCTTAAGGTGACAGTGGCTTCCCACAGTCCACAAAGAAAAAAACTAATTCCTTGTCACCATCAAGTCTTTCATAATCTGGCACTGATGTAGTCTTTTGGCTTTATTTATATGCCTTTGTTTACCACAACAGGAGTGCCTGTCCTCACTTAGGTCCATGGACACAGGCCTGAGGGTGGAGCCCTCACCAGGGACCCCAGTCTTCTCTACCCAGCACTTCCCTGCCTCCCTCCTATATCATGTCCCCCTCTGAAAAGGTACATCTAACTGCCATTAGATTATGGATGACGACCTGTCTTAGCTACTTCCTGCTGACAGGGGGCATTGGTTTTCCCTTATACAAAAATTTACTCAAGATGGATTGAAAACTTAAATGTAAAATTCCAAACTATAAAACTGTAGAAGAAAAATCTAGGCAATGCCATTCAGGACATAGGCACAGACAAAGATTTGTTGACAAAAATGGCAAAAGCAGTTGCAACAGAAGCAAAAATTTGTCTTTGCATTTTAATACTTAAGATAATGCTAACACTCCTTAAGTAGTAATATGAGCATTTTTATTGGTTCTATTCCTGTTTTTTCTTTCTGTACCTCCCCTCACATTCTATTTTTACTTTTTTAGTCTTACATACACATAATGTGGTATGGGTCAAAAAATAGTGTCATAAAAATTAATGAAAGGATAACTATCAATTGCTTTCTATACAAAAGTGAAATGTTATTATCTATTTATTTTGAGGAGATCCAAGGTTCCTTATCCAATAAACTGTTACCATGTGAGAAACTATAGAAAATTTAAAAGGATATGGGTCTTTCTAGACTTCAAAAAATTTAAAGAATGTTATTTTTCATTTGTTTGTTTTATTTTTGTTTTTGTCTGAATTTTTCTTGTTGTGATTTTTTTTTTTAATTGCTGCTGAGAGCATTGAAGCTAGATGCTTTTGTGATTGGATTTGTGGAGTGTTCCCACCCAAACAGAGTTTCAGGTCTTTTAGTACACTCAGTGGTCCTGAAAAACCAAACAACAAACAATGCCTACACACACTGAGGAAATATACGCAAGTTCTATTTTCAAAAATTTTAAAATATATAATATTTTCACACTTAAATTTTAGGGAGCATTTATCAGAATCAACTCTTGTATCGTACAAGGTGTTTTATAGTATTTTGTTCTAAGTGCCTGCCAATAAGTTATTCATGTATTCAAAATCACCTAAGAGGCACCTCCTCTGTCCTAGTCAGTGTGTGGTGCCAGCAATTTAGCATTACAAAGTGACCACAGTTCAGGGTTTGATGATACTTATATTTCAATGGGCCAACAAACAAAAAAGTAAACAATTTTAGACAGTGGGGTGTAGTGTAGAGAAAATAAAACATGGTCATTGAATAGGGAGTGACCTTAGATGGTTGTCCAGGGAAAGTCTAACACTTTAGAAAGTACATTTAAGGAGAGTCCTGAATTATTCAAACAGACCAGTTATGAAAATATCTAGGAAAATGTGTTCCCAGCAACGTAAAGGACAAAACCAAAGACCCTGTGGAAGCGACATGCTTGCTAATTTAGGATATAAAGACAGTGTGATTGAAATGCAGTATTTTTGAGGCATAATAGTGCAAAATGACACGTATTTTATACATAAATATTATATCTATTTTTTCAATTTTAATGAAATATTTTTGAAAAGCACAGAGAAATTTTATTGCTACAGCTGAGCCCAAGGTTTCAGCATTCCTGCAACAGCTAATTGCGCATGCAATGAATATCTTACCCAAAGTTGTCCAACTATAGATGAAGCAGCAGTTTAATAATTATTTTGGTGTATAAGTTTTGTGAACCAAATGAATCAGTTCTTTTTTCTTGAAGACTTTGTGTGTAAAACATGAAGATAGAGGATAGGTAGTGTATAAGAATATCAGAAGCTGAAGCACACAAATAGTGGAGTCAGGAAAAACCATTATGATGCATGGAAGCACTAGAATAACAAATAATTTATAGCTCCTGCTAAGGAAGCAATAAAGAACTGAGTCCATATGACTTTACTGTGTGCTAAATGATTGTATAGCCCCTGAACAGAGTTGCAGCCCCCATGAGCTCTGACTACTGCAGCTGAAATTGCACTGTTTCATAAATTCCTCATGTATTCTTCTAATATCACCTCGTTGGCTTGTGTATCTGCATATATTGTTCTGCTCCTTAAATTCTGACAGAGCTTTGACAACACAAATGCTATTTAATTCTCACAAGAAATCATCTGATGAGATAAATATTAAAAGGATTTGATAGTAATTTAAAGATCACACAATCAGTCAGTGGAAGATGTGGGATTAGAATCAAAGTGCATCTGACACTAAAGCTAGTATTCTAGAATGAACAGACATTTAGTCAAGTATTTTATATAACACTGATTTATGCGTGACTCCAGGTGGTATAGCTGTAGTAAAAGTTAAAATTGGATACAAGTAAAGAGAATAAGAAGACAATCCATTCACTGGAAGAAAATTTTTGCAAAATATATATCTGTCAAAAGACTGTTGTCCTAAGTAAATAAAAAACACTTAAAACTCAACAATAAGAAAATGAGCAACCAAATTTTTAAATGGCCAACATATATGAATAAACAGATATACAAAGAAGACAGAGATGGCAAATAAGCATATGGAAAGATGCTCCACATCATATATATTCAGGAAAACACTAATTAACACAACAAAGAGACCTACTACACACTTACTAAAATGGCGAAAGTCTAAAATGCCTCTAAGAAGGATGTGAAGAACAGGAATTCCTATTGTTGGTGGGAATGCAAAATGGTGTAGCCCCTTTGGAAGATTGGTGATTTCTTACAAAACTAAACATGTTCGTACTATATGATCCAGCAATTTCTCTCTCACCTAAAGGAGCTGAAAACATGCCCTTCACATAGATGAACACACGTAAAAATAAACCTGAACATGGATGTTTATAGCAGCTTTATTCATAATTGCCAATACTTAGAAAGAACCAAGAGGTCCTCAGTAGGTGAATAGATAAGTAAACTGTAATATATACAGACAATGAAGTATTATTCAGTGCTAAAAAGAAATGAGCTATCGAGCCATGAAAAGACATGGGGGGAAACTAAAATGCATATAACTAAGTGAAAGAAACCAATATGAAAAGGCTACATAATTTATGGTTCCAATTATATGACAATAAAAAAGTATGCTAAAACAATATCAGTGATTGTCAGCAAGGAGGGAGCAATGAATAGTAGGGACACAAAGGATTTCAAGGCAGTGAAATTATACTTTAAATTACAATGGCATGTAATATATTTGTAAAACCATATACTATAAAACAAGAATAAATCCTAATGTAAACTATGGACTTTGGATGATAATGATGTATCAATGTAGGTTCATAGATCGTAACAAACATATACCCTTGGTGAAGGATATTGACAGTAGGAAAGACTATGTCTTGGGGGAGAGGGTATACACGAAACTGTACTTTCTGCTCAATTTTGCTGTAAACCTAAAACTGCTTTAAGAATAATGTCTATTTTAAAAAACTGAATACAAAAACTCTGAAAGAAAGTGAAGGTTTATCTACACCCAAAGAATTTTGCCTCAGAAAAAAAGTTTTTTTTTTTTCAATTTGGCAATAGAAGTAAAAGGCATTATGAAAACAGCACAAAGACTTATGTATTTGTTTACTTATTTGTTGGTCCTTCCAGTGCACATAATTAGATATTTAATTTTAGTGTTTCAGACATGTACCAGAAGAAGGCATAATTATACTTCTATTAATTTCATACACTGCCACTAAGAGCAATTTAAGATATTGTATTGATATTAATATTTTAATAATATATAATGCATTTATTAAAATTGATAGCTAGTTATTCATTCTTAATGTTTTATTTAATGATGGTCATCACAGAAAATCACATCAATGATTTCAAAATATTAGCTCTTTTAAAAGACATAATGCTGCACATTTGACTCAAAACTGTATCCTTGAAAAAAAGCACTGACATTTCAAACTGCTATTAAAATAGAGCAAATATATCCCTCACTCATAGATTTTTGTATTCTCAGGGGACTATATCTGTATGGAAAAAAATTGATACATTTTATATTTGAACAAAATAAGTAAAAAATTTATATAAAAGCTTATGTGGGATTTAAAGAAAAGAGATGTGAATGATGATTTAAAAGTACACACGTTTTGTTTTGTTTCTCCTTCACATATTAATTATAGTGGATGACAAGTCTTTGTTTGCATACTCAGTAATTTTCTATAAAGAAAGTTTAGATATTGTTTGTCAAGATTAGTTGAGAAGTTAAGAAACATATCCCCAATATTGACAAAAAGATTCCTAATTTTTTTCATCAAAAAAATACACAGATGAAAACTCTACCTTCTTCATAGCAAATTTTATCACATTTCAACATGTGGAAATATTTGTAAGTCAAAAAACATTTTCCAGTGATTTTGGAAATAGCTCTGCTTATTTTTTCTCTTTCATATAAAATTATAATAATCCAAAATTTTGCTGTGCTTTTGTATTACTAAGAGTTTTAAGAATGCCTCCTGAATAGATAGATTTTTCTTTCCATTTACTCATTTAATTCTGTAAATCTATGCTTACATTGTTATATGTTTAAATCACTTAAGTTTGTTGCCAACAGGCCTACCAGTTTCTCAGCTCAAATTCCTCCTTGTGTCTGTCATTCACTTTGTGAAATTAGTTCCTTCCTCCAAAGATACAATTTACTTAGTCTGTAGGGATTGTGTGAGACCTGTTGAGAGTGTTTTTTTCTGACAGGTGCACATTGTTACAATTCTTAAAACTCTGTAATTATTAATTTTTCAGTGTGAAATTCTCTACATCATGCTACTAATATGAAATCAACCCAAAGTCTCATGTGAGGATGGCCCACGGTTACACATTCTAAAGTGGCTTTTTACCCACACAAATTCTAAGCCAAACCAGATATTTTTGTGTAGCTGATCTTTAAAAGCTGAACTTTTGAGATCATTGACTTTAGGAAGGGCTTTCCAATTTTGTGTACCCAGTATCTAGGTGATCATTACAGGCAAAGCATTTGCAGACTGGCATTCTCCAGGGACAGCCATGTATACACACTGAAGTCTTATATTGTCTAAATTATTTATAGTTACTAGGGACATTTTTCCTATTTTTGGGAATTCAGCTATGTATTTATAAGTATTTTACTATATACCATTTCTTTAACTCTTTTAATGAGATTTATAAAATCACTCATTGCTATTAATGTTGTTTTCTATTTTTTTGTTGTTGAATTTTTGTTGCTTGGGTACTGATAGAGTATGTATATCTGTTGTTGTACAAATGTCATGTTGAATTGTAATCACCAGTGTTGGAGGCGGGTCCTGGTGAGAGGTGTTTGGGTCATAGGAGTGGATCCCTTATGGCTTGGTGCTGTCTTCACTATAGCAAGTGAGCTCTCAGGAGATCTGGTCCTTTAAAAGTGTGTGGCACCTTCCCCCACCACCATCCCACACTTTCTCTCTTGCTCCTGTTTTCCCCATGTGAAGTGCCTGCTCTTGCTTTGCCTTCTGTCATGAGTAAAAGTTCCCTGAGGCCTCCCCGGAAGCATATAAAGTCTATGCTTCCCGTATAGCCTGAAGAACTGAGAGTCAATTAAACCTGTTTCTTATAAATTACCCGTTCTCATGTATTTTTTTATAGAGATGCAAGAATGGCCTAATACAGGTACTAAGTATATAATATAATCAGGAGACAGAGATGGTGAAAACAAGTGTCTTGGGATTCATTTTGAACTTAGGGTGAAATAATTCAGCCTTTCATAATTAAGTATGGTTAGTTACAGGTTTTATACCACTTAATAAATAGCATAAAATCTTAAAATATTACACTGGCAATTCTTATCATGCAGCCTTTATGCTATTTGTCATAACTTTACTTTGCATATTATAAACCATAAAATATTTTATTATTATTTTTGCTTTAAACACTAAGGTACCTTTGATTTTTTTTTTTTTTTTTTTTTTTTGATGGAGTCTCGCTCTGTCGCCAGTCTGGAGTTCAGTGGCATGATCTTGGATCACTGCAACCTCCACCTCCTGGGTTCCAGCGATTCTCCTGCCTCAGCCTCCTGACTAGCTGAGATTTCAGGCGCCTGCCACAACATTCGGCTAATTTTTGTATTGTTAGTAGAGATGGAGGTTTCACCAAGTTGGCCAGGATAGTCTCGATTTCTTGACCTTGTGATCTGCCCGCCTCAGCTTCCCAAAGTGCTGGGATTACAGGCATGAGCCCCCACACCCGGCCAAACTTTTTGATATAAAATACTGCCATGATACTGGTAATGATTTACTTCATTAGTTAATTTTAAAAGTCATGTTGAAAATATAGACATATACTTAAATACTTTATGAGAGGCACATGAAGAGACAGGTCACTATATAGAGTACTGCTATGTTAAGTACATATTTAAGTATACAATAAGTTTCCAGTTAAATGAACATTTGCACCACATATGTTATTTAAAATAATCAGATTATTTTCTTCATCAAGGTTTATCCAACTTGGTACTTCCTTTTTTCTAACAGTTAACGAATTAGTTCTAGAAAATTTCTTACCTACTATCTTTATATTCTAGTTTTTATCCACTGCTATTTATTTTGCTCCTGGAGTATAAATTATTCTAAATTTGAATTAAGCAAATAATAATCAGTTTAGGTAACCATATAAACATCAATTTTGTAAATTAAAATTTTTAGTAGGTTCTTGCTGCTGCTGCTGCGTTTGATTGCTTTACTTGTGTGTTTTCGTAAATCTCAGGAGTTACTCTTTTATTCTTTAACATAGTAACCGTCAAACTTAAAAAAGTTAACATTATAAATCTGTGTCAACTTCTTGGACAAAGAAACATGTTTCAATGAAAAAATTCACTGAAGATCTCTCTAAAGGGGAAAGTCATAGATTTAAATGTTGTAAAGTAGTAGTTTAAAGTGTTTATCATAATTACTGAGAAAACTCAGATGTTGGATAATATGGAGTGAGTTCACAGTTGTCTATACACATCTTTAAAGAAATACCACGCACATTGTTCAGGAAAGAGTCTTTGGTTACATTCATGAAGGGTCTGGCATAATACAGTCATCCCAGGTTGATGGCTCATTATGTCCTCCGCTGATTAGAGACAGTTGTGATGAAACTTAATATTTGGTCTTCTATCTTAAATAAGTTCTGTTGTAATTGGGATACTTATTTTTATTGTCTGTCATCCTAAGAGAATTTTCTTTCAAGATAAGATTAAGTATTTTAGGATACTAATGTGTAGAACTATTAAAACTCCAATATTGAATAAAATCTTTCTTAGCAGAATCATATCACCAAAGCCCACATTGTGTGACAATATTATCTTGGCCTAAACACACTAAGTCACAAGGTCACAACAAATATACTTGTTATGTTTCAAACATGTATTTCTCAGATGTCTCTGATCCATTACAATAAAAAATTACTGAGTTGATAATAGAAAAATTGTATTGGTCTGATCAGTAGAACGTTAGTTTTTTAACAAAAAGTGTCAGTAATGTCCAGTGATGTGACACCATCAGCAAGATTTCACATTATGCAGCTTTATAATAAAAGATATTATCTTTCATTGCTTAGATATTTATGTCATAATGATAGGAATTAAATTAACACAAGTTGCTTTATCATTTTAAAAGTGTCTACTAAAACTAGTTTGTTCTATTTTTTTAATCTAAAAAGTTTTCAGAGGTGAAGCCAGCTGGACTTCCTGTGTCCAGTGGGGACTTGGAGAAATTTTCTGTCTAGCTAAAGCTTTGTAAACACACCAATTAGCACTCTGTAAAAACGGACCAATCAGCACTCTGTAAAATGGACCAATCAGCGCTCTGTAAAATGGACCAATCAGCAGGACATGGGCAGGGCCAAATAAAGGAATAAAAGCTGGCCACCAGAGCCAGCAGCGGCAACGCCCTTCCACACTGTGGGAGCTTTGTTCCTTCACTCTTCACAATAAATCTTGCTGCTGCTCACTCTTTGGGTCTGCACTGCCATTATGAGCTGTAACACTCACAGTGAAGGTCTGCAGCTTCACTCCTGAAGCCAGCAAGACCAGGAACCCACCAGGAGGAACAAACAACTCCTGACGCGCTGCCTTTATGAGCTATAACGCTCACTGCGAAGGTCTGCAGCTTCATTCCTGAAGCCAGCGAGATGACGAACCCACCAGAAGGAAAAAACTCTGGACACATCTGAACATATGAAGGAACAAACTCCAGACACACCATCTTTAAGAACTGTAACACTCACCGCGAGGGTCTGCAGCTTCATTCTTGAAGTCAGCAAGACCAAGAACCCACCGGATGGAACCAATTCTGGACACCGTTTCAATGGATAAATCTTATACTTACAAATAGGAACATTTTAAGCATAATACCCTAGTAAACAGTTAATATCCCGTATTCTAGAAAAAAAGATGACAAACTCAGCCATTAGTTACATCTGCTAATACAGTGATGACTTTGCAGACTCTAGTAAACGGTTTGCCTATGTAAGGAGACTTTTGGAAGTTGTAAAAAATAAATAAATAAAAAGCTCTATATTTTATTATTAAAATAATTAAGGAATTTAGATATAAACCAATAGTTCTATTATTAAGTGTCAATTCTGATCAACATGGTTTGGGTTATTCAGTCTAATCCCAGTACTCCATATGCTACTGGACTAAAAATATATAGAAATCATGACACAGTTCAGGAGATCGAGACCATCCTGGCTAACATGGTGAAAACCCGTCTCTACTAAAAATACAAAAAATTAGCCAGGTGTGGTGGCAGGCCCCTGTGGTCCCAGTACTTGGAAGGCTGAGGCAGGAGAATTGAGTGAACTTGGGAGGCAGAGCTTGCAGTGAGCCGAGATTGTGCCACTGCACTCCAGCCTGGGTGACAGAGTGAGACTCTGTCTCAGAAAAAAAAAAAAGAAATCATGACACAGTTACTTGATGATGTTTGAAAAGTATATGCTTGTGTCAAAATAGCCAGCTTATTCTGGGAAGTCCGAATCCATACTTTATTTCTTGTTGTTATTGTATTCAATAGCATCTGGTGCAGTTTTCTGAAACTTTTTAATGTTTCTTTCATATTTCTGATCCACAGCTTGTGAAAGGAGGCTTTAGGCAAGTATAAGAGGGGAAAAATTATCAGAATCCTTCTATGGTTGATAAGATTAAATGGCTCTGATGAATTTATTATATATAATACCAGAATGAAGGAAAATAGAAAATTGTATTAACATATAACATGAATATATAGGTGTATATACAAATACACACTTATAATGACTTAGTCTTAAATCATTTTGGCATAAGAACATATTATTGGCAGCAGAGAGGGCACTGGCAATGCTCAAGCACCTATCATTGATGTCATAAAGTGTACTGTGCATATTCTTAATTGGTAAGAATATTTAAACATAAAATATAAGATTTATTTATATATTCTAACATGAAAACTGAACTATGATTTCTGAGGTTTTTCTTAAAATCTTACAGTCTAACAAAAGTTTTGATTTAATTGAGATCTGTAGAATTTTAATTAATTTTAAAAGCCTAATGCTTTTGACATCTCTGCATTTTTATGAGGAAGAAGCAAATATTGATGTTTTCCTAGAAGTTTCTCAAGAAAATTTTAAAAAATCTTATTTTTTTCATGATTGTAAATGTGGAAGTTGGGTTTAGGGATAACAATATTATAAATTGTAGAACATATCTCCTATAAGCCACCCCCCCAAAGAAAAACATATAATAGTTGTCTTTGTTGCCTCATTCCTGGAGCAGCAATCCAACCTCTTTTTTGTATCACTTAAAATTTTTGTTTATTAATATTATATTAGTGTGTGTACATTTATATATACATATAGTTATACTTTACATTGTTTAATGACACTATTATTAAAACCTATTAGCACTTTAAATTATTTTAAAACATGAAATGAGTTTTAATTTTTAATATTTTATAGCCAAGTAAAGAATAAACCTTTTCTGAGTTCCTGTCTAAACAGCAAAGCTTATCTTAAAAAATATTATTTTAATTTATAAAAACATTCAGAAATTTCTATAAATTAACACAGAAGCTCCTGAAGCATTTTTGAGACTTGATAATCTTGAAGCATTAATTTGGTCTTGTGTTATACCTGACTGCATTAATCAGGGATTCATTTAAGTATACATGTCATGATAAACTTTATAAGCAAATGTAAAGGTAAATTAAAATAGTTTACATTGAGGGAGGAGGGCATAACTGTTTAAAGCATAGAACTCCCATGCTTCACATAGAACAGAAAGGTTTTCTTTTATAGCTGAAAAACAGAATTAAATGAATCCATGAAAAAGTAACAATAGCTTCTCTTATCCAAATAGGATCATGGACAACTAACCAACCTGAAAGTTCACACACACAAAAATAAAAATACACAAAAAGTTAAATCGTTACAGCATTAAAACAAAATTTCATAGGAGGCTATGATTTCTGCTATGAAACTCACTCATGATTCAGGACCACCAGAAGATGGACTGAGAACAAAAGGATTTATAAATGCTAACTTTTCATTTCTGTGGGCAAGTGGCAAAGTACTTTTGAGTGAAGCTCACCAAGGAAATCTCAGTGGAAACTTGAGACTGTTAAAATGACTTCTGGAGCTAAAGCCAAAACAAAGCAAAGCAAACAATAATGACTAAAACACACACAAAGTTGAGTCTATTAATTTGCATAGAAGATAACCCATGACAATGAGGGGGGTTATTGAATAGTTTCCTAAGAGGTATTATTAGAAATTTTTCAGTGCAGGAAAAGGGAGTTCATCTTGTTTATGTTAACTAAGGATTAAAAACTAATTCCCAAATATGTCTGGACTTAATTTATTAAAATAAGTCCCATTGTCCATTATTTAGGAATGAATATTTAGGTGTAATAATAGTCTTGTGTAATGGGGTATTTCAAAGTTGATGGTTCTTTATTGCTTCATGTTGTAAGAAAACTTTATATTCAGGTTCAATATCTCCTAGGCCAGTGCTATATTAAATATAAAATGTACTTTCTACAACAGATAAGAATAAAAAAGACTGAACTGCATTGCTTCAATAAATAATGTTCTTTCAACTTGAAGTGTTTGCAGATTGTTTCAATTAATCTTAACCAGATAACTGGAGAAGTTACAATGCTTTTTATTTTTAGCACTGTAGAAAGTAAATAGGAAACCATGCAGTAAAGTTTAAAGTTGTAAGATATTTTACAATATCACCTAGTTCAGTAGCTTTGTTTTACATATATATCCTCTATAGTTTAAGAAATATATCACTAGCCCCACATCAGACTACATGTCAATGGAAGAAGCATGACTGGTGTCAATGTTAGAAGCCACTGGGCGATTGCTCTTCCATTGTACTCATTGGCTAGCTTAGTTTATGCAATTTTCTAAGATATTCAAATGCCTAAACGTAACAGGAAATATATTGATTTTTTAAAACAAAAGTTCAGTCTAAATATGTACTAGCTTATGTATATATGATGGGTATATTTATAAAATAGATTTTAAAACTCCAATTTTTCATGAAAGAAAATCAGTCTTCTTTGTGCGTCCGTATTTCTTCATTTCCTTAAATAAAATTAAGACAGAAAGATCTTTTAGGGCTTATGATCCAACAGCACTCACTGCTCCTGTCATAATTAACATTTCTGATTGCTCTTCTGGGTTGGCAGTAAAATCATTTCAAAGGCTGTATTTTATTCCTCTAGTGATATATATCTACAGCAGCCCAACCACTGTTATAAATTCAATCTGACCTTTTCTGGAACTATTTGAGTAGATAAATAGAAAAATGTGACTGTATATTGGCAACCATAGACATCATTAAGCTTTCCACTGAGTTAATGAAAGGCTAAGTTTGTGGGGGTGTTGATTTCATCCAATTTTCAAACTGAGTTACTGCCAACGTCCGTTAAAAATTCAAAATATAATGTCAACATTGCGGAAGGAAACAATCTCTCTGCACAAGATCCTCTGATGCTTTTGCAATTTAAAATAATAAAGATTAAAACATGGTTGCTTAGAAATAAGGACTCTTCGGCCGGGCACAATGGCTCATGCCTGTAATCCCAGCACTTTGGGAGGCCGAGGCAGCAGATCACGAGGTGAGGAGATCAAGACCATCCTGGCTAACACAGTGAAACCCAGTCTCTACTGAAAATACAAGAAATTAACCGGGCATGGTGGCAGGCACCTGTAGTCCCAGCTACTTGGGAGGCTGAGGCGGGAGAATGGCATGAACCCGGGAGGCCACTGCACTCCAGCCTGGGCAACAGAGTGAGACTCTGTCTCAAAAAAAAAACAAAAAACAAAAAACAAAACAAACAAAAAAAAAGAAATAAGGACTCTTCAAAGAGAATGGAAGCTTAATACATTGCTAATATTTTCAGACTTTTAGAATTTATTTTAAGGAACAACATAATTATCTAATGCTCTTAACTAAGCCTAAAGGATGAGAAAACCCCAAGAAATATCTCTACTCTAGAATTTTACTTTTAAAAAAATCAAAGCTTTGGTCTAATATAACATGCAAACTCACGATAAAACATTGTTTTTAACACTGGCACTCCTCAGAATGAATGGCAACACAGGAATTAATTCAACCCTAGCCCCTTGGAGATCGATACAGAATTTTTTCCTCCAGTGATTCTTTAAAGTGGCTTTAAAATCATGACAAACACTATGCCTGGATGTGTTTGTGGATGAGCATCTGTTTTGAAAAGGCCTTGCCTTTTAAAAAACAACAATAATCCTAAACACTGCCACTCAACGTTTCCCTCAGAGTTTAATGAGTAGAAGGTAGCAGAGCTTATAACTTTGTGTGTGAGCTGAATTTAAGTTGAATTCATCACTACATGGGAATATGGAATTAAGAAGTTTTTACACAGACTGAGAGAAGTTTGATTTACCATTAAATATCTAAGAGATAACATAATTAAATTTTTACTGAATATGTAAGGATGATCTGATTTTAAAGGAATTGCAATATAGTTCCACCTAGATATCTAAATACACTTAATTTCTTGAAATAAAATGAATATAGTTTAGTTTCCTCATTGAACTTAAAAGTTATACAACAAAGATGCTATAAAAAGGAAAAGTACAAATCAGTGTATGTATTATTCCTAATGCTACAGTAATCAGCTCATGTTGACTGGTTTATATAAATTTGATTAGTAACGTCCAGAAATTATTGATGTCTATTATAGGATGAATACTTGAGTTCCCATTGTTTCAACCAAACTCATTAATGGCTCCGACTACAAAATGTATGTCTTCTCCGATTGAAATCAATTTTACTGTATATATTTATAAGATTTTGCTGATAATTTTGATTTTACTATCAAGTTGCTTAAGTTGCCACTGAGTAGTTTTCTTGACTTGTTGGGTGTAATAGTACCTGTCATGATAATTTGCTAATGAATTTCTAATCCAACCTGTTTTTCCATGTTTTAGATTGATATTTCCAATGCCACTTAACTGATTCATATAATTATTCTAATGGGTACTCTGCATAATTCTATTCAAAATTGATATAACCAGGACTGCATTTAAGAAAAAACATTCTGACTTCCACAATGGTTGAACTAGTTTACAGTCCCACCAACAGTGTAAAAGTGTTCCTATTTCTCCACATCCTCTCCAGCACCTGTTGTTTCCTGACTTTTGAATGATTGCCATTCTAACTGGTGTGAAATGGTATCTCATTGTGGTTTTGATTTGCATTTCTCTGATGGCCAGTGATGGTGAGCATTTTTTCATGTGTTTTTTGGCTGCATAAATGTCTTCTTTTGAGAAGTGTCTGTTCATGTCCTTTGCCCACTTTTTGATGGGGTTGTTTGTTTTTTTTCTTGTAAATTTGTTTGAGTTCATTGTAGATTCTGGATATTAGCCCTTTGTCAGATGAGTAGGTTGCGAAAATTTTCTCCCATTTTGTAGGTTGCCTGTTCACTCTGATGGTAGTTTCTTTTGCTGTGCAGAAGCTCTTGAGTTTAATTAGATCCCATTTGTCAATTTTGGCTTTCGTTGCCATTGCTTTTGGTGTTTTAGACATGAAGTCCTTGTCCACATGGATAAAATTGGAAATCATCGTTCTCAGTAAACTATCGCAAGAACAAAAAACCAAACACCGCATATTCTCACTCATAGGTGGGAATTGAACAATGAGAACACATGGACACAGAAGGGGAACATCACACTCTGGGGACTGTTGTGGGGTGGGGGGGAGCGGGGAGGGATAGCATTGGGAGATATACCTAATGCTAGCTGACGAGTTAGTGGGTGCAGTGCACCAGCATGGCACATGTATACATATGTAACTAACCTGCACATTGTGCACATGTACCCTAAAACTTAAAGTATAATAATAATAAAAAAAAAAGAAAAAACATTCTGAGTACACTACTCAGGGACAAATTCAGAAATAAATGTATAAGGAGAAAAAAAATCATTGCTATCTTCCTAGCTATGAATGACATTTGAAGCGGTTTATGGAATACAGTCCACAAAAGGAAGAATAAATTTTGAGAAAAGGGTGGGATATTCACTTTTAATATGAGGAATTTGAAGTGCTAGACATTTTAAAAAATAGATGACTTTGCTCCCATCTTATTAGAGTACGTAGGACAGTAGTAAATTCTGTATTTAGAAAGCAATAGTGGTGGTTACTATAAATAGTTGGCTGTTCAGTTAATCTTTATGGGGTGTATTATTCTAGTTAACACCACCTTGCCTTTTCAAGAATGTGTCTTGGTTAAATATTAGATATGCTTAAGTAACAGAAAATGCTTTAATATGTTCTTTCCTGTTTGAATCTTTGGGCCTGTCTTAATGGAAATATATATAATGCCCAACCAAGAAAACCACCACTTTGAATGATTTTTTAGTTTTTGACAAAATTTAATATTAGAGAGGGAGGAGTTCAATGAATAAGTACTAGGAAAGTAAGGAAGAGAAATATATGTAATTTGGAAAAATTAAAAACACAGAATACTGCCATGGCTTTTAGATATAAAATAGATAATAAACCAGGCATTACATACTAGCTATGTGGCCTAAATCTTTGTATTTTGCCATGTTTATTAATTTAGTCTTTCTTAATCTTATACTGTTTTGCATTAAAAAATTAATGTATGAAGGAACTACTTTTTTGAGTTAAGGAAATAGGGAGATAAAAAATGAGATATCTTAATTGATGAGGAGTCTTGGGCTTTATGAGGCACTTCAATAAAAAATATTACTGACAGCTCTAAAAAAAGAATGAAAAGTATGATCTCTACAAAGTAAAAAAGAAGGCACAAGGAGTAAGGCAGTAAGATTAGCCAGAGAAGTGTCTCAGGGTTTTAGTTAGGAGAAAGGATAAGTGATTTATCTAGTCTTGTATTAGATTATTAAAAATGCTTGTGCATTGATTCTTGCCAGACTTCTAATAGCTCAACACACTCTAGCAATGTTTAAATAAATTGATCCAGCTACACTTTTAAGCCAGAGATAAAACATTACTATAGTCAGATTTAGATAAGAAATCTGTCAGAAAAAAAACAAACAAAATATATTCTAGATGGACTTTTAACCACAATCCATTTTTATTTACTTTTACTAAAATATAATATTTTCCAGAAGGTATTTTTCAGCTTGAGATGTCTTCCATTAAACAGGTTTTAGTGGCAGATAAGAACTCACTGTGATCACACGGACTGGTATTTCAAAAGTTAATCCATTTGGTTCGAAATATAGTCTGCTAGAACTCAGAAAGAAGGACAATAAAGTGCAAAATGGGTAGTTCACTGGAAGAAACATCACCACCTACTAACATAATAAATGTGGCAAGGAAGAAAACACAATTGCTGATGCAACACTATTACTTACTCAACAAGTAGTAAATGCCTACTCTTGGTAGAACAAAGCTGTGGTAGACATTTGCGATACGATGGTAAATAAGATAGATATTTGTTCTGACATCATAAATTGAGATGTTTTAATTGCTTCATTTAAAGAAAAACTCAGACTTAATTTAAAAAATAGATACTGGGATTCTCTATCATCTCTTACATAACAGAAACTGCTGTTACCAATTGTAAATAACATCATGTCCATGGGCAAACTAGAAAAACAGAGGAAAAAACATCAATGTCAGTTAAAAAAAAATGGGGTAGTATGTGTGACAGGAAAACAAAGTCAGTGAAGGTAAAGTTTTGTTCTTTTGTTGGGATACCCTTTAGGAATCTATAAAGACTTATTTAGCCAACATGAGTTTATATAGTATACTTCCTCAATCATTTATTGACTGTTACATGAGTCCACTTGGGAATCCGCAGATGCCTTCCAAAACTAAGAAAGTACATTAACAAAGAGGTTAAATTTTTACTCAGGTAAATATAAAATGAACATATATCAAGTGTTTTGTTTAACTCATTAATAATGAGGTATTTTGGCAATCCATCATGAACAACTATTATGTATAATAGAATCATATCGACTCTCCAGGTATTACAGGATCTCTGGGTTGTTGTTTTTCTAGCTGGACACCTCTGTGGCCAGTGGCACCTTAGCCCAAGTTTTGCTCAGGCCTGTTGGGCTCATTTCAGCTACTCAGTCTGGCAGACTGTGCTTGGCTCACACTACCAGCCTGGGTCCCACAACTCCCAAGGGCAAGTCAGGCTTGGAACAGCAAAGTGTGTGTGAGCGAGTGTGGGGTCCAGACACTGCCCACAGTCAGACATGCCAACTACTGCAGTGGGGTGAGCAGCTCCACTCCGCTGGCTCTTTGTGAGGCTGGCATGGTTGCTGGCTCTTTGTGAGGCTGCAGCCAGACCAGGTGCAGTGCAAGCAGCTTTCATGATTTACACAGGGGAACATGTTGGCACCGGAAGTGTGGAGATGCCAGGAACCACAGGGCCCTAAAGAGAGAGTCACAGCCCTGGCTCAGGGAGCTCCCACGTCTGGGCTCCCTGAAGGGCTGCAGCTCTTCTCTCCTTCTCTTTGCCTGCAACATGGCAGGCAAGGGGCATGTTTCATCCCTGTTTGTGTTACAGCTCTTTTATCCCCACCATTTGATGGGTCCCAAGTTCTTATCATATGACTAGGAAGAATGAGGTACACAGACAAGTGGAGGGTGAACAAGATGGAGAGGAGCTACAAAGAGCTCAGTTTTCCACATGGAGCAGCTCCTTTCCACAGCCAAGGTGTCCCAGTGAGTGTTCAGCTCCTAGCAGAGAAGCAGCCCTGGAATGGGCTGCTCCTCTCTGCAGGCAGAGCATTCCAACATCTCTGCAGCTCTCAGTAGAAAGGAGGCCCTGAAGTGTGTATTTCTGCAGCTGGTTGCCTGATGTCTGCTTGACTCTCAGCAGAGAGGAGGTCCTGGAGTGGGTAGCTCCCCTCTGCGGCTGGTCATCCCACCCTCTGCCCAGCTGTGGCTGAACCTGGGACTTCTATGGTCCTCAGAAGGGCAAAAGTGCATGACAGTTGGTCCATGGGCAGCCATGGGCAGGCCCAAAAAGGGCACCACAAGTTCCCACTCTGCTCATCAGGACTGATAGCCTGGACTGCAGCCTTCAGGCCTTCTCTGGCCTGAAGGTGGGGCCTCAGTGAGGACCTGCCCCCTTCTGCCCAGGAGACTGCCTGCCTCCCGCTTATGTCAAGGGTTGCCTGCAGGCCAGGCTGGCCCTCAGCCACCCCTTGACTTTCCTCTCATGCTCATCAGTTTCAAAAGTCCAGGGAGGGCCAAGGAGGCAGGAGGCTGGTGTGTCAGCACTTCTGTGAATGTGTACACACCTGGCCATGCTGTGACAGTGCCTGGGTGCAGCTCTGACTTTTCTCTGAGATTAGTGCAGGCACCAACAGCAGGGAGAAGCCAGACAGTGGGAGCAGGCACTCTGGAGTCTGTGAGGGCAAGGGGGGCCTGCCTGGACACTCAAGAGTGCAGGGATGGGTCCACAGCTGTGATTTGGGTGGCTGCAGCTGCATCCCCAGAGGGCAGGGCTCCTGCCTGCTCAGTGGAGAGGGAAGCACACCCCCCATCCCCTCTTTCCTTGTGGGCAGCAGAGGTTTGGGTGGCTGCAGCTGTACCTGGTAGGGTGGGATTCCTGCCTGCACCTGAGAGCACAGGGATGTCTGGGGCCACAGCCCCATGCAGTGGCACCCAAGGAGTTCCTGCCCCAATTGGGAAGGGGTGAGGCTGCCACTTGTCCCTGGCCAGAGTTTCCTTCTGGCTCCATGGAGCATGCAGCCCTGACCTTGCCTCCCTGCTGCAGCCAGGATGATGGCAGCCACCACTCCAGAAGGCCCACCACTGCCATCACAGGCAGTACTTGTGAGAGATTAATTTAGGATGAACTCCAAAATTTTCTCCCTTCCCATGACATCCTTTGTGTGAGGGACAGATTGTTGTTTTGTAGCCTCCCCTCTTTATTCTGCCACCACATATGCAAAGCCATGCATAACCTAAAAAATGTAAATTTCTTTCTTTCTTTCTTTCTTTTTTTTTTTTTTTTTGAGACAGGGTATTGCTGTGTCACACGGGGTATAGTGCAGTGACATGATTACAGCTAACTGCAGTCTCAACCTTCCAGGACCAAGTGATCCTTTTTCTTCAGCCTCTCATGTAGCTGGGAACACAGGTATGTGCCACCATGCCAAGTTAAAAAGTGTAAATTTCAAAAAGGTAAAATTATAACTTTCAGACAAATATAAAATGCATATATATCAGATTTTATTTGACTCATTAATCATTGAATAAAAAATTAAGTTAATGAGCATTTGAGAATCCAGCCTATCTGCAGGCAATTGGACAAAGATTGCTGGATTAGATATGAAACTGGTCAATACTCAACAGTCCAAAAATCTTTGGAGCAATCTCTGTCACTGAACAAGTTATATTGCATCACTACTGCTGAAAACCTAAAGATTCAAAAGAAACTTTACTTAATCTAAAACCATTAAACTAAATTCATTACCCTAAACTCTCATTGGATATTTTTTGTGTCTCTTTTAGTGTCAAAATAAACTGCCACCAAAATTTTTACCTTATTTTTATCAAGTTTTGGGTAATTACTTTTTCTGATAACCTTTGCTATCACTCATTCCCACATGAATATTTCATATTTGCCAAATCTCTTGGTACAAATATTTATTTTAGGGACTTCATAAGCTCCTTTTTTCTCAGCTTGGAGTAACAGTAGAATGACTTTCTTCTCCATGATTCTGAGGAAAAATATATTGTGCTGAAAACTCTTCCTGACTAAGTATTTTTATCCCAATTTCAACCCCCATCAATTTATACCCTAGAGATCATTAATGTGGGCAGAATTGATTTTTAAAAAGCATAAATGGGCTTTTGTCCTGCTTTTGGCTAAGTGGATGTTTGTAATCTTTATATATCTGTATCTATCTATCTATATATGTATTTTTGTTTTTTGAGACTGAGTCTCACTCTGTCGCCCAGGCTGGAGTGCAGTGGCACGGTCTCTGCTCACCACAAGCTCCGCCTCCTGGGTTCACACCATTCTGCTTCAGCCTCCCGAGTAGCTGGGACTACAGGTGCCCGCCACCACACCCGGCTAATTTCTTTTTGTATTTTTAGTAGAGATGGGGTTTCATCATGTTAGCCAGGATGGTCTCGATCTCCTGACCTCCTGATCTGCCCGCCTCAGCCTCCCAAAGTGCTGGGATTAAAGGCGTCGGCCACCACGCCCGGCCCTTTGTATATTTTTTAGCGTTTGGGACTCAGAGAAAACAGTTACAGATAGAGTCCATATTAACATTCTGCTCTAGCTTTACAAATTACAACGTAAGGTATTTCACTCCTTCTAATGCCTTGAAAAATGCCTGTGACTAATTAGTTATATCGTTACAATGATTTCTATTTGAGAGTTTTCTATATTCTCTTATCTATAAATTCTGAGCACACCGGGTGATTGTCTGTAATTAGAACTCAACAAAAGCTTCAATGTATACATTAGATACCAATACTATATATTGTATAAAACTGTATACATAATATAAAACTTACTTACTGGTTCAGTTCGGACCTGAAAAGGCAATCCCTGTAGCTGCAGTTCTCAAATAACAATCTACATACATGGTGTTTAAATATTTTAGTGTTATTTCACATTTTACTGTAGACCCACAGTTACATTCAATGGAAACTTTTCCTGTTTTCATTTGGATCATTATTGTATGAATATATAGATGATAAACAGATGGATAGTCATGTTAAACATCTGCAAATGAAAGTCTCCCTTTTGAATATCTCAAAAGCTCTGAGTGATAAAACATCAATGAGAGTGCTGGGGTAATGCTCTGGGTAGTTTGGTAGAACTGCCAAGTTCTGTTTTGTCCTCTTGTTCTTGTCAGTGGGATATGGCTCTTGGACTCACACTTTCACATGTATTTTAGGGGCAGCTATATACAGGCTGGTATCGTAGCACAAAATTATGGTCAGTTTAGTCCATATGGCTACCAGTTCAGGTAATTTTACCAAGAAGCAAGTAGCCAGAAAAAAAAAAAACAACAAAACTTGGAATTTTAGAGAGATAACAGTGACAGCTACTGTGCTGTGACTTCACACATAACCCCTAATGTCTTAACATACTTACTTTTCCAAGTTTTTATTCTGTCCTTTCCTTTCTTGAACATCATGCCCCAAGAAAAATGGAAGGATAAATATAACTTCCTGAACGTGCCTTGTTTCTTGTACCTCTGTGGTATTTCATATAGTAGTCCATCTGTGGAGAGAAAACTACTTTCACATGACCAATTCCTATTTAACTTGACAGTTCAGCTTAGATGACAATTTACCATAAATGGCTTTAATCATATCATTCTTTTCATGAGAAGAACATATTTGATGTACTATTATAAAAGCTTGTATATTAATCTTTCACACAATACTTAAATTATACTGAAATTGCTTAGTTGTCTGTCATCTCTACTAGTCTAAGAAGTCCTTGGAAATTGTCGCTCTTTCAATTTGAGCACCCCATAGAAAGCTTGAAACATAATAGGCATTCAATAAGAGTTGATAATTTCTATACTTGGGAGAGGGGAAAATGAGAAATGGTGAGGTTTTATTCTAAGGAAAGTTTATTAAAATTTTTCATATAATATTATCAATTTTCTGTTCCACTTAAATGACATTTTGATTTATATATATTATACATGTTTCCATTTCACTCTTCAAATCATTTTGTGAGCCCTCTAATACATATATTTTTAGTAACTCTGTCTATAATTTTTGACATTATCAGTTGTCCTTGGATTTTAAATATATATTGTAAATACTTTGTAATATTCTAAATAGTCTATCAAATATTCCTAAAAATTTATATATATTTGTTTTATGTTAAGTATATACATATTGATGAGGCTCATAAGTATTGATTCTTATTTGTTAATTTATCAACTAATTATAGTATTTTATAAATTTTTCATAACAACTATAGAATAACTGCACATAAACTGTATTGGCTTCAGGGATCCACCAAATACTTCTGCCATTTTCAGTTTCTTTGAATTAAGAAATTTGAATTATTCATTAATGATGCCACTAATTGCACTACAAAAATATTCTTGGAGCGTGATTTCATAAAGCATAATGCTTTAGAATTAGGATGTATAATGGTATGTAATTTTGAATTTATAGCAGGAAAGATTTAATCTTAAATTGGTTCATAATGTGTTTTATGATTTTAAACAAATGTATTTATTTTTGCCATGATCTACATTTCTCAGTATTAAAACAAAAACTAAAATACGGAGTATACTTGTTTAATAATATGTTGATGATGAATAAAATTACTGTCCTATTATTTTGTTTAATGGCATTGTCCAATTCCTGAGATTGCTGATATATTTTTCAATGTTTTCTTTTTAGGCCCTCTTATTGGAATGTTGCTCCAAGAACAAAGATATCATGAGAAAGCCGTGCTTAGCATGCCTAAAATGAGACCTTCTTTTCTATTCCATTTTAACCAGGAAAATTAAGCCCTATATTAAACTTTAGCTTAATTATAACCAGGTAACATACCATGATGACTTTGTTCTAAATATTGAAATGACAAATGCCAGGTTGGAATTACCTTTAGCTATCATATATAATTCAGCTTATCACATTAATAATAAAATAATTTTTCACAGTAACATATTGGGATGTTGTAACTATTGTTGGTGGCTTGAACCAGGATGTTACTGAAATGGCGAGATTTTATTTCCATGTAACCCAAGATATTTGTCTTTCCCTTGAAGTTTTGTCTTGAGATATAAATATTGTTGATTTTATCCATCTTTCATAGCAAGATATTTTTAAGGAGATGTGTGTTTCATAGTGCCAATAATTGCATACCCAAAAGCCCAATGACCCACACATTTTCCTATCTGGCTGAGTTTATCTTCTACTATAAAAACTGCTAATGTCAGACACTAGCTTTTCCACTTTCAATCACAGTAAGCAAATAGACATATTGAAAAATCTTGATTCACAGTAGGAATAGACCCAGAAAAAGTCTGCTGGGGGGATAATTTCTGGTAAAGGTCTTACTCCCTGACTTAAAAAAATAATGAAAATAAATCTATCCTTACCTAGGTGTGAGATGTCCAGGATTTCAAATAATAGAAAGTAAGCCTATAAATCAGGCTGATATTTAAGGATGTCTAAGCCTCATTTCCAAATTGTATCTCTGAAGATCTGAACCAGTCTAGGATTCTCTATTACAGGACTTCTGTTATATACTACCTGTTTTGTTGGGTGTCAGTTGTATGTTAGGTGTGATAATACATCTCTGGTAGAAATTCTTACTAAACACATCCTTATTGATACAAAAGAACAATGACAACTCAATGGCTATTCATAGATATAGTGCCTAGGTTTCTTCATGTAATGTCAAAGAGTTTGTACATAGTTCACTCCCCATCATAGGTAGAGGTTTCTGTTAAAACTTGATCAGAGACTGATATGGTTTGGTTCTGTGTCCCTACCAAAATCTGATCTCAAACTGTAAGCCCCATGTACTGAGAGAAAAACCTGTAATTCTCATGTGAGGAGGGAGGGAAGTCATTGGATTATGGGGGTGCTTTCCCCCATGCAGTTCTTGTGATAGTGACTGAATTCTCATGAGATCTGATGGTTTTATAAATGGTAGTTTTTTCTGCCCTCTCACACACACTTCTCCCTCCTGCTGCCATGTGAAGGTCATTGCTTCCTCTTCACCTTCTGTCATGAATGTAAGTTTCCTGAGGCCTCCCTAGCCATGTGGAACTATGAGTCAATTAAACCTCTTTCCATCATAGATTATCCAGTCTCTGGTATTTCTTTATAGCAGTGTGAGAACAGACTAATACAGGGACTAAATCTCAATCATTAACCATCAGTACTTCTCCTCTCTCCAGCAGTCATTTTCACTTCCCAGTAAGCTAAGGGGTGTCATGGAAATGCAAAGCCTTTGTGTGTGTGTGTGTGTGTGTGTGTGTGTGTGTGTGTGTGTGTGTCTGTGTGTGTGTTACCAGCATTGGCTTTGTTAATAAGAAGTAAAGAAAAAAATATTCATCAAGACCCTTTCTCCTAAGAATTATATTGCATTAGAAAAGCCTCTCTTAATTATTGTCTCATTTTGTTCATTTATCTTTATTTTAAATTAGACTTCTTTCAGCTGGGAAATGGAGAGCACTAAGAAGAGCATCACCCACACACTTACAATAAGAAAAATTTAGACAAAATGCAAATTAACAGCCTTTCTTGAGCCCAATAGAAAACTGAGGTTGCAGGACAAAATCCTGTCTCAAATATCGAAAAAGTCGAGAAGAGGTTCTTTCCTCTGAAAGGAGAAAAAGGATCCAAGTACTTGCTTACCTGCAACAGATGCTCCAGAATGTCATATAGATTGGTAAGAGGATCAAGCTAGAAATGTTTTAAAAACTACTAAAAACTGAATTTGTGCTAATAAGAAAATGTTTTTAGTTTTTCTAAAAGATAACCGAGGAAAAACAAACCATACTATATATTGGGTGTGTGCAGCATAAAATGCATAACAATGATGGCACAGGGATGGGAGGGAGGAATTTGCTATATGTAATTACACTGCACGTGAAGTAGTATAATATTCTTTGAAGGTAACATCAGGTGATTTTAAAAAGCATGTTGCAAATCCTAGAGTGGCCACAAAAATATTAAAAATAATATAAACAATAAGTCCACAAATTAGATAAAATGATATCACTTAAAAAGATGCTAAGTTAAAACCAGAGAGTGCAGAAAAATAAAAGAAGCAAAAGCGAATTGTAACAAATAAAAAATTACTAACAATATGTTCCGATTGAACCCAACCATATAAATAACCATTTTAAATGTGAATGATCTAAATCTACTAATTAAAAGATAATTTTATGTTAGGTAAAGAATAATGATCCAACTATATGTGGTCTATGAGAAACAGTAGAAATCTCAGCCATTGATAAGTTAGGGTAAAAAAAATGGAGAAGGTAAACCAGGATGGAGAAAGATAAATTAGGGTAGAGGATGGATAAAGATAAAAGTCACTAACCAAAAGAGGGCTGTTTTAACTATATTAATTTCAGAAAATTACACTTCTGAACAAGAAAATTTTTCAGAAATAAAGAGAAATATTACATAATGCTAAAAGGGGTACATTTTCTACAAAGATTTCAGAATCCTAACTAGATATGCATCTATCAATAGAGTTTCAAAATACATACATGAGGAAAAATGGATGGACCTGTAAAGAGAAGCAGATAAATCTGGAATTATAGTTAGAGGTATCTGCATGCCTCTCTCAGTAGCTGATAGAACTCAGTAGGCAGAAAGTCAGTAAGGAAATAGATGACCTGAAAAACACTTATCAACCAGTTGGATCTAAGAGTTGTAGAATATTCCACCCAACAACAGCAGAATATATTATCTTCCCATGAGTAACTGAAATACATCAAGATAGACTGAGTTCTGGAACATAAGACAAATCTTAATGAATGTAAAATGATAGAAATTATATACAAAGTTATGTTCTTGGACTATGACAACATAAAGCTAGAAGTCAATTTTAGAAAGTTATCTGGGAAATCTCCAAGTATTTATAAAGTAAAAAACGCATTTCTATATAACTCATGAGTCATAGAGGAAGTCTCAAGGGAGAATACTTTAAATTAGCTGCCTTTTCTCACAAGCTTTTTCATCATAGCTTTAAAGGGTAGTCCTAGATAGCAGTGGTGACACATTGAGTGGTAAAGTTACACATCTGTGCTAAAGTTTTCAACCTCTTTTCTATAGAACCCCTGCCTATCTTCTCAGGATGGGTCTTCCACAAAATAATTTTTAGGTGGTAATAAGTGTGGATGCCAGGCTTTGACCACTCACTCACCTTCCTTCCCTCCTAATTTTGGATGAAGTACAATTGTCATAGTTGGCGCTTAGGACAGGTATTGATTTTTAAATATGCTTTCTTTTTTTTCTGTTAAGATATAATGGTATGTGTTTAATTTGTGCTAGTGTTCTTAACTTCTTGATTGTATTTATTTTGGAATAATTTGAGAGAAGGAGGTTCTGTCATTTAGTCTTTCTCTATACTTTTAATAAGAATGTTTTCCCAAGGATTTGCAGTTCTTTATTTTTAAATTATGCCATCTGTTGTTTATGGTGAGAAGCTTTTTGTTTAACGGAAACTTTATAGCATTTTGTAACAAGATTTCAATTTAATTAACTTGATTAATGACTTAGGGCAAAATTTGAAAATAAGCTGAAAAATGTAAAAGTAGCTTGTTTGAGAAAAGAATTTGGTATGAAATAAAAAGTCATCTTCACAGATGCAACTGATTTCTAAGCCCGTTATGTAATTCCACTGGTCTAAATCACAGAAAACATTTATAGGACATACTCTACCCTGCCTCTCCTGTTCAGAAAGAAGATGGATTTTCAATAGTACTGTGATAAGAGTGACATCTGATATTAACAGCAATTTCTTAATTTGGTCCATTAGATTTTCCTGTTATCATATTTCATCTTATTTCTTTGAAACTTTTTAAATAATGTTTTATCTTGAAAGGAGCCTTTGAAGAGATAGCTTTTGATATACATTTTAGAGGATATTCTTGACGCATGATATACCTGTCCACTTACAATTTTTTAATATTTCTCATACTACCTTTGATCATTATTTTCTCCTAAAATCGCTCATATATTTGATAATATAGTGTAATAAAAAGCTAAACAACGGCATTAATTAGTGAAGAGATGCATGACAAATTTTCATTATGCTATTAATTTTCTTTTTAGTGTCATATCTTAATCTCAGATGGCCTTTTTTTTCTTTGTGTCTTTTTTCTCAAGCAAATAGAAAATTGTTAAGCATGAAATGTAGTGTAAAACTTTTAATTTATTTAGTACTTTATCAATCTCAGATGGACTTTTTTTCTTTTTTCTTTTTTCTCAAGCAAATAGAAAACTGTTAAGCATGAAGTGTAGTGTAAGACTTTTAATTTATTTAGTACTTTAATCACACTAAACATTTATGGATTACAAATTCAAACAAATAATATGCTGCTTTATATTAGAATTTTGAAGTCTGAGATTATTAAAGGCCTGTACATGTTACTATAATTCTGTAGTTATAATTATATAACATTACATATAGAATATATATTATATGTAACTAGTTAATTATATATGTAGATATGTAGATACACAGAGAAAGAGAGAGACAAAAGAAAGAAAAAATATTAACATTTATCATGATGACTAAAAGATCAAAAGCTAACACAATCCCATTAGATTTACCAATGAAGACATTCATTTTTTAAACAAAAAAACCCTAATATGTTCTCCTGATTTAGTGGAAAGTTTACTTGGTTGCGTGTATCTTTAGTGGAATTTTATTTTGTTTTGAAGATCTCCCATTAACAGTCATATTCCAAATATTTTAAAAATATTAAACAAGGGAAAAATTTTTGTGGGTGGCTCTTAAGGCTGCTAGTAATAGTTGTCTGTTATACCTATATTTCTTTGTTTTTAACTTGCTGTTTTAAAATAACTTAAGATTTATAGCAGGTTTGCAAAGATTTACAGAGTATTTTGTGTACACTTCACCCAGCTTTTCACTCCAGTTCCCCCAATATTAGCATCTTACCATTAAGGTACTATGTAATCATAGTACATTAATCAAAACTAAGGAACATTGTTACAGTGCTACCCTACAAAGGTTATTTAGATTTATCCAGTGTTATTGTGTTACTGTTGCTTTTGTTTTGTTTTGCTTGGTTTGCTTGTTTGTTTCATTTTACTAATTTCCGTTTTTCGGTTCTGAGATAAAATCCAGCATACCACGACATATTGAGTTTCATGTTCTCTTACTTTCTTCTGCTGTGTAGTAGTTTCCCAGTCTTTCCTTTGATGATCTTGCTGGTCTTGAGGTGTTCTAGTCTGGTGTTTTTATAAAATGTACCTCAGTTTGTGTTTACCTGATTTTTTTGTTTGTTTGTTTGTTTTTTGAGACAGGGTCTCGCTCTGTTGCCCAGGCTGAAGTGCACTGGCAGGATCACAGCTCATTGCAACCTCCACCTCCCGTGCTTAGGTGAACCTCCCACCTCAGCCTCCCAGGGAGTTGGGACTGCAGGTGGGGACCAGCATGCCCAGATAATTTTTGTATTTTTTGTAGAGATGGCATCTCGCCATGTTGCCCAGGCTGGTCTCAAATGCCTATGCTCAAGCAATCCACCTGCCTCTGCCTCCCAAAATGCTAGGATTACACGTGTGAGCCACCACACCTGGCCAGATGTTTTTCTTATTATCAAAGTAAGTTTATGGATTTAAGGAAAAAATAGCCCACAAGTGAAGTGACCTTCTCATTGCGTCATATCAGGAATTCACGGTGTTAAACTGATTATTGATGAGGTTAGCCTTCACCAACTGGAGTTATGTCTGCCAGGCTTCGCAACTGTGCAATTATTTTTCTCTTTCCATATTCTATTCACTGTAAGTGTGTAACTGAGCTCATCCCACATTCAAGGGGAGAGAAATTAAGCTTCACCTCCGAGAGGGAAGTGTTCATTGCTTCCATAAGCTTATGTTATTACCAGTCATTAATAAATACATTGGAGGCTAAATACATTTGAAACTGTGCAAATATCTTGTTTCTCCTTAAAATGTACTCACAAATTTTAGCATTAATTAGTGGACCTCTTTGAGGAAGTATTAGTGGAAGATTCTAATGATAATTTTCTATTTGCTTTATTCATTCACATGTATTATTTGGAATGTTCCTTCTTTCCTTCCTTCTTTCTTTTGCACTTCCTTTCTGTCTCTGCAAGATGCTACAGACTCAACTTATGTTTTTCTTGCTTTAACTCTAGAATCCCTGTTTCTTTAAGAATTCCTAGGTATTTGATTAGATGATTGAGCTTAAAAACCAAGATCTTGGCTTCAGTATGCTTGCTGCTTTTGAGGTGTCACTGTTACTAGGCCCTTTCACAGAGGCCAAGGCATATATGTGTGTATAAAAACTCATGTATACAAATACATGTGTGTGTGTTCATTTCAGTATCTATTTTTCTGTATGTGTATGTGTGTGTATATATATTTATATATATACGTTTCTGTGTGTGTATACATGTATTTGTATGTGTGTGTGTATGGGTGAACTGCAGTGAACTGCAACCTAACATAGTATGTAAATTAACTGCAACATAACCTAAAAGGACATTCTTGTAAATAGCTGAGTCCCAGACAATTACAGTAGTCAAGATACAGTCAATCACAGGCTGCCAACTGATTAGACTATGTCCATATAAGGAAATTTCCAATTATACCATGCCCAAATAAGGCATACACCCAGGTGTAACAAATTAAGTTGTTTTTGTTAAGTCCCTTCCTTTTTCTTCTGCAAATATTGAATGCTGACATTGATGGGTAGAGCTCTTTGAACCTCTCTGAGTGCTGCCTGATTCAGGAACTATTCTTTGCTCAAACATTGTGAAATTTAATTCTGAAGTTTTTTGAACAATATATATACATACACAGATATATGGGTATGGGTGTGTGAGTGCGTGCACACACACACACACACTTATATCTCCAACACTAAGACAATATTACAGGGTCCAGTCTAGACTTTACTCCTTACCAGTAGATAGTAATGGTGATTTTGGAAAAGCAATGTATTCTTATCTGTGCCCCCTTTCTAGTAAATGCTCCCTGTTTTCTCTATTTCCAACATCAACTGTTATCTAAATTTTTAATACAATTACAACTTGACTACTGGGAAATCATGGTTGTTAATAGCTAATATATAGCCAATCTTAAAATTATTTAAATACATTTCTTAAATAATGAGGAAACTGAGGCTTTGAGAGGCCAAAAAAAAAAATAGGTAAATCTGCAAATGTACATATTAAGGACATTAGATAAATTAAAATGTTCTTTCCTCACATGAGTTCCTTCTCATTTTTGGTGGTGTGACACTGACTTCTATATCCTACCTTCTCATAAATATTTTCAGTGTATATCTTTATAGAAGCTATGTTTTCTGACAAGAATTTAGCTATTGCCATTTTAAGTTATGACACATTTTTCTGCACAAATCTTACTTTAGGCTCCCAATTCACTTTCATGTAAAAACAAGAAACTTATTATCTTCCTGGTTCCAGGAAAAATATACAAAATTTGAGTTGTATAAGTTCTCTCTTCTCTAATATTAATACTTTCAGAGGAAAAATATAGCCATAAAATACAAAAATCATAAGGAATATAATAAAAATGTAATTAGCATTAAAGCATTTGTCACATAGGAAAATAATATAAATATCACCTTATTTATTCTGTTCTTGTGGAAAGAGTACTTCAGTGCTTTTTGTAGTTGAAAAAATTAGTAATAACTATTTTATTAAAATGTGTTTTCTTTCATGTGAAATCATATTAAATATACTCTAAAATAAAGTAATCATTTTGTTACTTTGCTACATAATATTTTGCTTGCTTTTTGTTTTGCTTGGGAGCTCAATGACAGGTTTTATCATTGTTGTTTGTTTTTTCTTGATTTGCTTGAGAAAAAAAGATAGAAGATGGTCAGCAATCTATTGACTATTTTCACTGAGTCATTCTCAAGGTTGACTTATTTTTTTTCAAACTTAAGACAATAAAAAGTCAATGAACTAGTTATATGTCTTAAGGTATCTGTGAAATAATCCTAAATGCAGCCACTGTAAATACCAAATACATATGGTGTCTCTCTTTTTTTTTCCAGAACCCAAACCATCTTTTAAATTCATTATTAGTTTGGCATAATTTTTTGTCTAGTATAATTTTTTTTTTAGATGTGGTCTAGCTCTTTCACCCAGGCTGGAGTGCAGTGGCCAGATCTTGGCTCACTGTAACCTCCGCCTCCTGGGTTCAAGTGATTCTCCTGCCTCAGCCTCCCAAGAAGCTGGGATTGCAGGCAAGCGCCACCACACCCAGCTAATTTTTGTATTTTTAGTAGGGATGGGGTTTCAACATGTTGGCCCAGCTAGTCTTAAACTCCTGACTTCAGGTGATCCACCCCTCTCGGCCTCCCAAAGTGCTGGGATTAAAGGCATGAACCACTGCACCCAGCCTCCTATAAATTTTATAGCATTACTGAATTGCATATTTGTTTAATAAAACAAGATTACACAAGTACTGATAATATTTAAGTGCAAGAAATGTTTTAAAATGTAATTAAGGAAAAATGTTTGTAATATATTATGCTTTTACAAAACAAAAATTTAGCTTTAAAACTACAAAGTTATTGACTGTAAGATTATATAAATTGTATTATTTGTCTTCTATTAAATTGTTATCTCTAGTTAGTCTTTGTAGGGATTGCGTTCATGTGCCATTCCTCTATATAGATGAAAAGTATACTATGAATTAAATTCACATTAAAATTTATTTGTTCTCGTTAATTTTCTTTTTTCATTCAATTAAACATGCTACATTTACTATGTACCATGTGCTAGTCAAAACATGGAATACAAAAGTAAATGAGCTAGAAAAGCATCTGCCTCCTATGAGCTAATAAACTGACAGGTGCCTCTAAATTTATCTTATTCTACTAACATTAGTGTAGAGATCTCCTTAATCTTGTGATCCTTTCCATGTTCAGATTCAAGTTTTCCTGCTTTAATGATGAGTACTAATTTGAACTTATCCTAAGTAATGCCCGGCATTTAAATTGGCCATGCACTCAATTAGAGCATTTAACCATGGTAATTTTGAGTTATTCTGTGTTTCTTAAATAGTGAAGCTGGATAATTATATTAACTGAAAGCACAGGACTGTTAAAAGGCTAACAAAACCTAAAATTCAAACCCCAACCCAAAGCCACTTCAAAATTCTTTGTATAACCAGAAGATGCTATAATAATAATCAGTGCTATCAACTGTGGTTGGATAACTTGAAAAGAGTAATTATGAAACTTGGAAAAGCAATTTTCACAATCATTTTGTTCAGTTTGTATTTTACATAGGTATATAGTTAATTACACAAATAAATGTAAAATATCTTAAAATGTAGCAATATATATTTAAAAAATAACTAGAAACAATTTTATGATTTATCTAGTTTGACACATTTTTATTTTTTCCTTTATTACCAGAATGAGAGGAAGTTTTGAAGGTGGAGGAGTTGACACTCAGTATCTATAGAAATGAAAAATGAAATTACTACAGTGAAATTTTATATCTGTTACAAGCGTCACATTTAGTTTTTGGCAACTCAGAGTTTAAAAGAAAAATAACATTACCTAATATACATCATATTAGTTCTCATTTCACTACTTTGAGCTCTTTCTAGAATATAATATGTTATGATAGTCACTGAAATAGATTTTTTAAATTGGCTCCTCATTTTTAGCAGATTCATTTTGTTAAGACAAAGAGTGGCAATTATAACTTTAGATTGCTTGGAATTCAATGAGAGATATTCAGAAATATAATTTGTGATTATTATTTTCTCAGAGAAAAAGTAAGGAATGTAAAGAGTATATGATAAGTAAAGTAAAAATTTTCACAGACAGACTATCTATGAACAAAAAAATCTTACTTAACAAAAGGACATACAAAAAATTTTTAAGTAAGTGAAGTATATGAGGTACTAATCAAGAACACCGTAAGGACAGTGGATAAGAAAACAGTGAACAGGAAGACCCTGACCTGGGCAGAAACAAGATCATAAGAAAGCAGAAAGCCACCCAGACTAATCCAAACTCTTAAATTACGAGTGAAGCATTGAAAAAAAGTAAGAAGAAAGCAGAAGTTGACCAGAAAAGCAAAAAAGAAATAATTAATTTTTTATTGGTACACATATGTACATATTCATGGGGCACATGTGATATTTTGTTACATGCATAGAATGTGTAATGATCAAGCCAAGGTATTTAGAGTGTTCATCAGCTTGAGTACTTATCATTTCTATGTGCTGGGAGAAATTTTCTAGAGTGACTTTTTTCTAAGGACTGTACAAGCCTACTGCTCGAAGACAACCAGAAGCATACCTAAAGGCAACAAAAATAAATAAGTGAATAAAGTCGATTTATTTAACTGTTTTGAGCAAGGGACATATTCCAGGCCCTTGGGCGTCTCTATAAGAGGGTATAGGAGGAAATTGTAAATATAATTTTGATATGTTGAATGAAAAAGTATGGCTTAAGGGAAAAATATGAATAAGATGTCAAAAAACTGGGGGTAATTCAAATAAGTGAATTTTGTAAAGATTTCTCTATAGTTGGTGAGTGGATTAAAGTGGATTAGAGTTACCATTGGTAATGCAGCACTCAGTGATGTTGATCAAAAGTGAGGAATTTATATATATATATATTTGGTCTGGAAGATAATCTTGCTTATGTCTTATATCTATGAGCATTGTTTATGTTCAGCTGGGAATAGCTAGTTGCCAGTTAGGCGATTTGTCAGCCTAGTGTGCCAGTTGGATAATTTTTCATTTTCTTAGCAAATTCCAATATACAGCCTTACAACAATTTTGTGGAACAGATGTCATTGCCACATAACATTTTTAAGTGTAAGTATGAAAATTTCTCTCATTAGCAAGTGTCGGTACTGGAAATAATCTTCATACACCAAACTCTAAAGTATTTGTTCTATTACGAAATCAACACAACATGATATCCATTATTTGTATTTGGATTACACTTTCTTAAGGAGTAGAGTAGTATATTCTAAAGAGCACCAGTTGTGATTTAAACAACTGAATTCTAGTACTAATTCTGTAGCTGACAAGCTCTGTGACTTCAGTCATGTCACTGAAGTTCATCACTAAGATGAAACCTTAATTCTTTCATCTTTAGTAGGAAGGAGTTGAAGTAGCTGAAGTATAAAGCTCCATCTAGCTCAACAATTTTATTATCATTATTATTGATTCCTTCTTCCTGTGCCCATAAGTACTCAAAGATTGCCAGAAGCGGATAAAAGTTTTGCTGAACTTAAAGCCTATTCAATCTGAGAGGCAATTTTAAAGAATGAGAAAAAAAATCTTACTATTACAAATTTTCAAAAATGATGCCAATGTGAACACATTTATAGCACCCCCCCCGCCCGCCCGCCCCACTCAGGGCCTTAGAAGTGATGCTTGCAAAAGAGGGGCCTTGAAGTTTAAGTTTCTCTAGCTTCCCTGTAAATCTGCCTTTTGCAATACCACTCACAATGGCTTTTGTGGCAGGTTCTGTTGATGGGTCAATAAAGAGGAAAGAGAAGACGGCAGATGGTGTTACCTAGGAATTCCCCTGATCTCCTTTCAAGTCCGAAGTGTAAGGAGGTTCAGAGGTGGTCCATTTTCACTTGGAACTGTAAGAACAAAGGATTTCTTACCCTCTAGGAAGGTTCAAAAAGCCTCTTCCTGAATCATACTATGGAAGTAAGACCGTCTCCTGTCACAGAGAGGTAAGTTACAAGGTGCAATGGTTATAAAGGCAAAGGGCTGAAGTACCAAGCACTTACGTGTTTCTGTTTCAAAATAAGGCAGTCAGCAATACATACTGGAGGAAACAAGGACTTCCGAAAGCTATCGCAAAAACTACACTACCTAAAGGCTATGAAGTGAGAAATTTGGTAATCAAAAACTAATGAATTAGTAATTAGTGACGTGCCATACGGTGTTTTTAACATGATGAAATAGTGAGCTAACCTCTGCATGCAATTGTAAAAACAAATTCTTAAATGTAAAGAAATCAACACTAAGTTTCAGATTAACTTGCCTTTTGTCTCATAGACCTCTCTATGCATTTGCTCTCACAAAATACACCTGGATGGAAACAGAAACTAGGCTATCTTACTGCATCCTAAAATATTCTGCTACCTAAAATAATTCATGGTTTCACTTGGTTTCACATCTGCCTAGTGTAGCATTAGTGGTTTTGTGATACACCTTTCAAATAATGATAAGGACATTTTGCTCTGACATCCCTCCAAGATAAATTACCAAACCCTTCAAGACATAAGATGATAGGAAGATAAGGTTTATTATTTCCCACACGGTGGTCAAGGTCATTGAGGAAAAATGGTATGAAGAGTTAATATTACAGGAAAAACATAGCATCCAAAATTAAATAATATTTGAGATTGAAAAGATACATTATCCCCATAGCTCTGCGAAACTCAGTGTCTACACAAATTACTATTTCTCTTTTAAGTGCCAGTCATGTAAGTTACAGTTCTCTAAGGACAATTTTAACTGCTCTCTGTTACTTAGAAATTTCCTCTATTTTACCTCTCTCAGTCAAAATGACTTGAATTCTTATAATGTCATTTCCCTTTATTTCAGAATTATGTTTTATGTTGCAGAATTTCCAATTGGATATGCCTATTTTCTTTCTTCCTAGAAAATACACGTAACAATGAACACTGTATGTATAACTTGCTAAAATAGAGGATGTTACATTTCAGTTACTCATCGATACTAATACTCTTTGTACTACAATTTTAATACCTATCTTCACTTTTAGAATTAGCAAGGTTTGCTAATGTAAGAAAAGTTCATTCTGCAATTGATATTGCTAACTACTAACTCATAGACTAATACTGAAATTTATACAGAACTTTTATATCCTAGAATGAAAAGGAAATATATTATGACTCCTCTTATTTACATTTTTGTTCCTATTTAGAATGTTGCCAAATTACTTATTTTTTTGAACTTTTAGTTATTTATTTTGATTCAGATCGATGGACAAGGTACCTACATTCTGGAAAGCTTCTTAATCCTTAAACAAGTGAGCTTCTACTTACTTATACATAAAAAGACAAGGAGAAAAGGTCATGATTGTCTAACAGGGAACATGAATCCACAAATAAATTATCTTACAATAAGGTCATACTTGCTTTTCTACTTTTTTACTATTGGTAAAAATGAAAAAAGAATTCACAGTAAAATAAAATTTGTAGGCCGGTATAGCATGTTAAGATTCTTATTTTTACATATTAACTTTTCAAGTAAATTTTTACACACAAATTTAAGTTTTCAAAAAATTAAGTTAAGTATTTGCCCCATATTTTTTTGGTCCGCTAAGTGACCATTTATCAACTGACATTAAACTGGACTGCAGCTCACACTCCAAAAAAGTAAAATTATGTCACAGGCTAGATACACACATGTGCATATTACATACATGTGAAATGGCTAACACTGCTGTGCATACTACTTCCATAGGTAGTTTGACCCTATGAAAATAGTGTAGTCTGTCTTGAATCAAATTGCAATAAAAGAACAAAAGATAATACTTGCCTATAATAGACATTTACTCAGGCATTTTAAAAATGCAAAAATTAGAATGTTTGGGGGACTTAAAAATTATTGAAGATGGGATAAAAGTCAACACTGCTTATAAGTACCTGAACATGGAGAGTATTGCCAATAAATTCAGGTGGACAGCATATGAATGAATGTGTATCACATAACTTCTACTATGTGGTCTGTTTCTCTTGTTTTATTCTAAAGATTTACATGGACTTGGATCTTTTAAGATGGTTTAAAAAATAATATTACATTGTTTTCCTAGTCTAATAACCAACTTTAAGAAACGCGATGGAAGGGTAAGAACTTTCTATATCTTCTCATACTTCTAAAGTCAATTGGATTTCTATTATGACGTGATATTTTAGTTAACAGTATGCTAAAAATAAAATTGACTGAATTACAAGATTTTCCCCAACATTCAAGTCTCTTTTTGTTAAAATATTATGAAATGAATTCAGTAAATATTTTCTATTTCCAATAGCTTAAGTGAGAGATGAGTGCAACTACTTTAAAAAAAAAAAAATTAAAACTAAACTGGGCTGAAGACCAACTACGTTAAACCCTGAAAACCAAAGCGAAGCACACAAACATCTAAAACACTAATATTTTCCATCCAGGATAGAAAAATGGGCATCCAAAGTAAAGAGAACCACAAGATTGATCGAGTAACTAATTAAAAACCACTTCTCTGTTATTTGAGCTAATTGTTACTCGAAGCTTGAAGTTCCTGCCTTCATTATTATTGGTGGTTCCTAGAGTGACAGCTTCAGTGTCAAATGTGACAGTGCACACAGAAGTAACTGAAGTTAACTCATTAGTCATTTCTTTTCCATTAACAAAAACTTCACCATTTGTACTCATACATATAGCTTGATCCTGCTGCAGAGAGTCATATCCATTCTGTTTTTCTGCAAACACCCCATACTGTATCTTCTGTCCCACAGTTTCAACTCTGAATGTTAATGTCTGCCCACAGAAATAAGTTGGAGTTCTAGAGTAGAGAACACCTGAGGATTGAGAATCATTCCAGAATGCAATATTACTTCGACTTTCAGACTGTACCCCTCAAAACCAGCTGTCCACTCATGAGGCACCAATGTGAAATGACCTATCTGGGGGACACTTCAGGGCTCCAGTCCTGTTGACCATCTCCTCAGGTGCAGACTTTGGACTGATAATCAAAATTGGAGTCCATGTGCAGTACTATGAATTGAGTTTCAGAACCTACATGTACATCCTCATAATGATTTGAAGTACGTTTGCAAAATTAGAGCCTATAATCTTGGGCTGTAAAATCATCATCCACCTTACACCATCCTACTGTGATGACTCCAGGTTTCTGTTTCAGTTCTTATATCTGTACTGGTGGGAGAGATGCTACTGTTCCATGCTTAGAAATGTAGTCTTTTACTATAAGAATTGAGTCATCCAACTGAGCAGATAAACAAAGCATATCAACCAGTAAAGGTACTTCTGGTAAGCTGTCCAACTGAATGTGTGAGACCTTTTCGGCAAAGCTATGCAGTTTGTCATTCTCTTCTACACTACCAACCATGGCAATCTCACCTACTCAGACTAAGTCCTCTGCAGTGTTGACTCCATGTTCTATGAGCCTCTGGCAGTCATCTAATGGTTTAATGGTCTCCTGCTCAATGATGTCCACCTCTTACTAAAGGGTCACCAATCGCTCATCCAGGAGCTCCTCAAGGGTTCCCTTTAAATCATTAAAATGCTGTTTGAGAACATCCTTTGTCTGTGGTGCACACTCCTTGATCTGCCTCTGTGCCTCCCCCAGCTCCCGCCTGGAGCTCCGTGTCACCTCCACGTTCTCATGAGCTTCATGCAGCAGCAGCTCAGGCTTCAGCTCCATTGCCCCCACATGGAGCCACACATCCGGGGGAAGTTGGCCTGGGTTCCCAACTGTGCTGGGCACCTTCAAGCAGCCTGGCACAGCCTCATGCAGGCTGCCATCTAACTTATACTTTTACTATCAGCTCTGACAAAATTGTCTAACAAATGATTTATATATATAAATTAATCCTGTTAACACATTAAAGTTATTGATATTCTTGCAATTATACTATCAACTTTCTCAAACCCAGTTTCTCTTTTAATTGCTTACAGCTATGCTTAGAAGTAGTTTTCTAGGATACACATTTCCTGTATTTTCTCTATAATTACTAAATAACTTGTAGATTTATACACCTCAATATTTGTTTAGAAAAAGTCTATTATATAATTAATATAGCTAATAAAAAAACAAGAAATTCCCTGGTAAACTTTCATTGTTTGAATTTAGGGAATAAGATAGCAGTGATAGTGATGGTGCTGATGACCCGTCTGTAGTGGCTACTGCAAGGATGCCGGCTGCAGAAGGGGAGGCAACGCCAGGGCTGCGTGCTCCTTGGAGCTGGCAGGGGCTGGGAACAGGAAGGAGCCATGCTCCTTACCAAGTTGGTGGGGGAGGAGCCCTGCGCTCCTGGGCGCAGCTGCAGCTGCCCAGCCACTGCTCTGAACCTGGGCATCCTTGTACTCTCAGAGCCTCAGGAACTCCCCTGCCTCCATAGACTTGGAAGTGCCTGCTCCTACTCCCTGGCCTCTCCCCACTCCTGGCGCCCACTCCAGTGTGGAGCAAAGTTGTAGCTGAGCCCAGGTGCTGTTGGCCTGGTGTGCATGCAATTGGGACAGCACTGATGCACCAGCCGACCTGCCGCTGCCTCAGTCCCTGCTGAGCATTGGATACCAAAGAGCGTGGGAGGGGGACTGGGGGGCTGAGGGCGGCTCAGTGCAGATCTGCAGGCACCCCTCAGCACGAAAAGCCTGGACTCCACAGAAGACATGTTGATGATGGAAGGCAGACAGAGATTCCTGGATGGAAAGAGGTGGGTCCCCTACCTTCAAACCAGTGATGGCCTGAAGCCTGGGGGCCAGGCTGCCAGTTTCAGGTGGAGTCTGCTACTTGGAGTGAAAACTTATGGTGAACTTTCCAGGCCCATGCATGGTTGTTTATAGACCGATCAGCACACACTTCCTCCCTTTTGAACCCATAAAAACCCAAGACATAGCCTGATTCACAAAGAGGTTGGGACTACCAGCAGCTGGAAGGAGCTGCCCACTTTGGGTCTCCTTGACTCTTCGGAATCACCTGCCTGTGGAAAGGAGCTCCCTACTGTGGGTTGCTTCTCCACTGACAGCTGGACACTTGTCAGGACCTGCATGGAGAAAGGAGCTACCCATTTCAGGTCTCCTGGGAGTTGTTCTGTCACTCGATGAAGCTCCTCTCCACCTTGCTCATCCTCCAGTTTTCCACATACTTCCTTCTTCCTGGATGTGGGACAAGAACTCAGGATCCTCCCAATGGCAGCACTGAAAGAGCTGTAACACAAACAGGGCTGAAACACACCCCCTGCTCACCACATTGCAAGTGATGAGGAGAGAAGAGCTGCAGCCCTTTGGGGATCCCAGAACGTAGCTAAAGCTATGACACCTTCTTTGCAGCTCTGCAGTTCCTGGTGTCTGTAAGTTTCCAGGTGCCACCATGTTCCCCGGTTCCTGCAGTGGAAATCACTTGTGGTACACCTGGTCCAGTTGCACCCTTTTGCAGAGCTGGTGTCTGTGCCAGAACCTGGAGTTTTCCACGCTGCCACAGCCAGCACACCTGGCTGTGTGCAGTGGCCAGACCTTGCACTCACTCACACACTCCTCACCACTCTGTGCCTGGCTCACTCTTGGCAGGCATGGCATCCAGGCCAGTAGCACAAGCAGAACACTGCCAGCCAGGCTGAGTGGGTTGAATGAGCCCAGCAAGACCAAGGAAAACGCAAGTAAAAGTGCCACTGGCCACAGAAGTTTCCGGCTGGAAAAGTGACACCCTAAGGACCCTGTGACAAGAATGCTTTAGATTGGGGGGTCTTGGAAAATCCATTTAGAGCAAATATATAGAAGATCAAAATCTCATAGACAACATTTCCAAAAATGAAATAAAAGTGCCTTTACACACTCCAAGAAATAAGCAGGGAGCCAGGCATGGGGCAGGAGTAAGTGTAAAGGGTCTTCAGACCCTGGGTAAGTCTGACAATTGTAAAAGGAAAAACTAGGTAGGAAAAGACTCTGTCTACAACCCAGTTCTGAGAAAGTTTTGGTTAGACCAATAGACTGCCCTTTGAAAAAGTCCTGAACTGGGCACAGAACTGGATGATTCTAGTATTTCATACCATATTCGGTCTTTGGCTAAGGGCAGTCTAGTGGAAGCAGAGCCTTCATCTGAATGCTGTAATAGAACCAATATAGGCAGCAGTGGGAGGCTGATGGGCAGCTATGCTTCCCATAAAAGGTTCTAGAAGAGATCTGAACACTTCCATGGCTGCCACACTCTACCCATTGCAACTCACATCCACTTCTCTAAGTGCCTGCATAGTTCTTGGGTCTCTGTTTCTGAAAGAAATTACTGTGATAAACCACAGCTCCCTTTTTCTATGTTTGGTCTTGGTGCCACAATGGGTTTGGGATTGCAACATAATACTTTTAAAAGATAGACCACTTTCAGATTGTGGAGTTTAATTTATCTTATTACCCGCTATAATGTGTATATAAGGCTGAATATTGTTCAGCAGCCATTTTGTGACTATGAGTTGAAAAGTGTCAAAAGAATTAAAAAAAAAATCCATCAAGAACAAAGGGAACATTACAAAAATTAAAATAGGCATATATGATGAAGCCAAAAACAGAAGTTCCAGCTTTATAATTCCCAAAATCATGAACTTTGGAAGAAAAAGCAATTAATGGAGAATTAAAAATTCGAAACAGGTGAGGAAAAAGCTCGTGATGTAAAATATGTACTCAGAAAAATGTTGTAATTCTGCAGAGATACTAGGAGAAATATATGAAATCTGATTTGAAGTATAGGGATATAGCAAGGTTTATTATGTTTCTAATAATCCATGCAGAAAGTAAGATACGATTTGAAGAAGGAATTTTTTCAGAAGACAATATCAATAATTTTCTAGAACTGGCTTAATTGATTATCCAATTAAACAACGATAACAACATCTACAAAGGGTCCCAAGCAGGGTAAACAAAAATCTAATCCATACTAAGACACATTGTATCAAAATTACTGCTAGTAAGTAAAAAATATATTTTTAAAGTCATTAGTGACAAATAACAAATTACTTGCAAAGGAATAATACATGTATCACAGGTCCCAGAAGATAGTAAAATAAGAGACTCAAAGTGCTGAAGAGAAACTACTATGAATATAAAAATTGCCATCCATCTATCTCTACTGAAAGAGCTACTAATAGATCTACCTCAGCAATATAGGAAAGAAGAAACAGGGAAGAAAGGGGATATAAGTAAATAAAATGATAAAATGGTAAAACATATAAATATATATATACACACATACAAATAGCTACTGTCTATGAATATTGGCAATAACTTAGTGTTGGGTGATTAAAAATCAGGTAGAACCAAAATTTTTAAAACCATATGAAAATGAGATAAGTTGCTGAATTAAATTTTAATGTCTGCAGATGTCTGCAGATGATTTTCTTAGCAGTATAGGAGAAAAAAGATATCTATTAACTCAGTGAAATAATATAAATAAAAAGTCTACTCCATGTTAATAAATTAAGAGAAATGAATAGAATAAAGAAGACACATATTTAGAAGAGGGTTTCTTAACCTTCGCATATGGACACTCAAGGCAGGAAATCTCTTGGTTGTGTGGGGTTGTCCTGTGCATCGAAAGATGTTGAATACCATCTCTAGCTTGTACCCACCTGATGCCAGTACTACCTCTCTCCCTGTTGGAACTACTGTGACAATCAAAAATGGCCTCACTTGAGAACCACTCAACTGACATAAAGGAGAAAAGGAAAAAAGAAAAGGGAAATGTAGTCAATAGAAAACACCATAGAAATAATATAAATAACTCCAAATATATTAGTAATCATAATCAATGCAAAGTTATTATATCAATTATTTAAAGACTCATAAATTGTGTTAATATTTTTTAAAATTACAGCTTTATACTATTTCAGAGCCTCCCCTAAACCATAATGATTTAGAAAGGTATACAATTTAGAAAGGAATAGCAAAACAAGACACAAGATAATTCTATAAAAGAAAGATGACATATAATAATACATGAATTTAAGTAGAATAGTATGACTAGGAATAAAGAAGGATAGCATCTAATATATATAGAACAATCTACCAAGATATAAAAAGCATTCACAAAAAAATAGAAAAAATGAAAAGGCATTCATTGCTGCAGACCTTCTATAATAGATTATAATTAATAAAGCATGAATTTTGTAATTTAATGAAAGTATATCTAAGATAATATTTGATTTTTTCTCAAAAAGAATCAGCAGTAGAATACTAATTATTTACAACATGAATTAAATAGTAAAGCATGTAGTTTAAATGCATATTACATATAATGTTATATTTGGTATAAAATATATTTTATATTATAATATATAATACATAATTTGTGTGGATGTATACGTGATATGTGTGCATCTTTTCAGAAGTGGATGATGTGTCTGGACACAAAATGACAACGTTATAAGAAATAATAATAATAATAGTCACCACTATACAAATTATTTTCTTAATACTCAATGTTATACAATTAAAAATCTGGAATGAACATTTTGTACAATCCTCTAATATTTTTGGGAACTTAAAAATATACACTCCCGACAATATTTTCTATGTAAAGTGAAATAACAATAGAGATTACAAAACAATTGGACTAAAAAAGACTTTTTTTTTTCTTGTTTTTTCCTTTAATGCTATCTTCAGGGTTGAAGCAGAGACCCACACATGGGTATAATAGAAACTGTCCTACTAGAGAACACTGGGATTAAACCCACATCTCCCTGAAACTTAAAACCTGTCACTTAAGGGAAGCCTGAGTACCGCGACTTGCATCTTCCTTTTCCTTGGACTTCCACCTATGATGGACTTAGAGAAAACTCCCGAAACTCACCGTGCCCTATCCCGTAGTAGTCAAAGTCTTGCCACAACTCTGCGATGAATCTACCGAGACTACTCTTATTATGTCTTTGTTTATGTTAGTCACAAAAAAAAAACCCTCAGGCTGTCAGGTTACCACTGGATCTCCACATCCTAATCCCAACAAAGCTTTGTGCATCCCTATTATTTTTCCGTTTGCAGTCTTGTCTCCTCACATTCTTTCACTCTACCACTGATTTTCACTGCTATGTATAACAGTTATGTTTCAGATCTTGTTAAACATACTTTTTTTTATTGTCTATGTCACAGGATCCTTAGGGTGTCGCTTTTCCAGCTGGAAACCTCTGTGGCCAGTGGTGCCTTGGCCCGAGTTTTGCTCGGGCTGCTGGTCTTATTATTCCACCCATTCAGCCTGGCAGCCTGTGCTCCGCTCACACTACTGGCCCAGATCCATGACTGCCAAGGGCAAGCCAGGCACAGAGTGGACAGGGTTAAGTGAGTGAGTCCAGGGTCCGGCCATGGTGCACAACCAGGCATGCCGGCTGTGGTGGGGCGGGAAGCTCCAGGCGCCAGTACAGATGCCATCTTCGTGCGAAGCTTTGGCTGGACCAGGTGTACCATAAGCAGATTCCACCACAGGCACCAGGAACATGGTGGCACTCAGAAGCTTGGAGATTCCAGTAACCACAGAGCACCAAAGAAAGTGACAGCCCTGGGTCAGGGTCGCCCTAGGTCTGGGCTCTCCAAAAGGCCGCAGCTCTTCTCTCCTCTTGTTGCCTGCAAGGTGGTGAGTCAGGGAGCAGTGGGGGTGGGGAAGGGTATGTGTTTCAGCCCTGTTTGTGTTACAGTTCTTTCAGCCCCACCATCGGGCAGATCCTGAGTTCTTGTCCAGCATCCAGAAAGAATGAGGTATGCAGACAACTGAAGGGTGAGCAAGGTGGTGAAGAGCTTCATTGAGTGACAGAACAGCTTTCAGGAGACCCAAAGTGGGTAGCTCCTTTCTGCAGCTGATAGCCCTGACATTATGTGTGAGTCTGGCTGAGTACATGGTTTTTATGGTCTCAAAAGGGAGAAAGAGCATGCTGATTGGTCCAGGGGAAGCCATGGGCGGCCTGGGAAAAGCACCATAATTTCTCACACCCAGCCAGACTCCTCCTGGAATTGGCAGCCTGTCCCCCAAGCTTCAGGTCAACCCTGGCTTGAAAGTGGGGTCTCACTGGGCACCCACCCCTTTCTTCCTCCCAGGAATCTGTCTGCTCCCCACCATCAACATGTTGTCTGTGACACCCAGCCTGTCCATGCTGAGGGGTGCCTACAGGTTCATGCTGAGCCACCCTCAGGCCCCCAGCCTCACTCCCATGCTTGCCAGCGTCCAAAGTCCATAGGGCACCAGGGTGGCAGGGTGGGTGCTGGCATGTCAGTGCCACCCTGAGTCGTGGCTCACCCGGTCGGGTCAAGACAGTGCCCGGGTTTGGCTACAACTTAGCTCCACACCAGTGCAGGTGCTTGAAGCGGGGACAGGCCAGGGAGCTGGAGCAGACACTTCGGAGTCTGTGGTGGGAGGGGGGATTTCTGTGTTCCTGAGAACTCAGAAATGCCTGGGTCCAGAGCACGGCTGGGTGGCTGCAGCTGCACCTGGAAGCACTGGGCTCCCATCTTGCCAATTCAGTAGGTGTCAGGGAAACTGCCTGTTCCTGGCTCCTGCCACCCATGCAGACCTTGCAACCGTGGCTGCATCGCCCCCATTACATCTAGCATCTTCAGAGTGGCCACTCCTGATGAGCCGCCAGCTGCCATCACCAACACATTACATGAGTACTTCATTCTTTTGCTCAAATTGCAAACCAGCTGTTCACCAATATATACTAATTAATGGATAAATTCTCTTGCAGTATCTGTCAGTGATGGCTTTTTTTTTCCCCACAGTGGTGACTTTACTTTTATTTTTCTCAAAGCTCTCATATCATTCTGCTTGGAAGTCAACTAGATATATATTTTTTTATTTCTAGTACAATATTTTGATTCCATTTCCACCCTTTTAGAAGCCATACTCAAGGATCATCTCCAGTAATTTTCATGTCCTGGCAACCACACTTCTGTGTATTTCCTCCCATATTGAATAAGGCATCATTGGTAATCAATACATTATTGTGGGTGATGAGTGAGTGTGGATAGGTCATAAAAGACATTGCTCTTCTGTCTTTCTTTCTCTGGAATCGCTTGCTCTGAATCTGGCTGCAGTGTTGTGAGGATACTCCACTACCCTTAAAGAGAAATCCATGTGTTGAGAAACAGACCTCCCTTCAATCACCAGAATCAACTTGCAAACCCTATGAATGAGCAACCTAAGAAGTAAATCTCACAGGCTCAGTAAAGAAACTGATGACCAGTCATAGCTCATGAAGATTGCAACATTTTGAGAGTATTCCCAAGGCAGAAGCATTCAGCAAAGTGCTCAATTTTCTCACCAATAGAAACTCTCAGATAATAAATATTTGCTGTGATTTTAAGATGCTAATTTTGTTGATGTATTGATTTTACAGCAAAATATAAAGAATACAACCATCTTTCCAAAAATCTTCAGCTTTGAATCTCAGGTTAAAATACTGTATCAGCTACTATAGCTAATTATGTTATCATCCGAGTATCCCCAGGACATCATTTTTTAATTTCCTTTCTTATTTTTTATTTTTATTTTTATTAGACTATGTCTTGCTACTGCTAGAGTGCAGTAGCATGATCATAGCTCACTGCAGCCTTGAACTCCTGAACTCAAGCCATTTTCCCAGCTCAGCCTCCTGAGTAGTTGGGAATGCAGGCATATGACACCAGTTAATTAAAAAACAAATTGTAGAGATTGGTCTTGCTGTGATGCTCAGGCTGTTTTCAAACTCATGGATTCAAGGTATCCCTTTGCCTCAGGCTCTCAGAACACTGAGACTACAGGCATGAACCACAGTGCTCAGCCTCACCCTTCATTTTCTGATTGTAGCTACCGTCCCACTGTCACTTTCTCAAATATCACTAAACAATTCATGGAAGTTTCAATATATAGAAATAACAATTTCAAAATCCTAGCCATTCAGTTCCTGGAACTCTGTTCCTATAAATGATTTTTTTCCATTTCCCTACTTCATCCTTGTTATTCACATGATTATACTATAGACATTACAATTGCAATTACTGTACTAGTTCTATAATTTAAATGTGACATATTCTGTTGTTTGATCATCAGCTTCTTTCTACTAGCTCACTCACAATCACGATTTTTAATTCTTGATTCTCACTAACTTAGCCCTGTCTTTCACTCTTTTGTTGGGTCTAAGCTCTAGATCACATCAGTGCACTCTTCTAAAAAAAAAAAAAAAAAAAAAAAAAACCTTCTTGGTTTTGCTCTCATCTCATTGATTGTTCTTTCCAAGTGTTTTACGGTGGTATATTCGTTTCTACCCAAACCTCCGTTGGAATTCTTTCCAGCTCCACTTTTGGGTCCTCTTTGCTATCTATGCTTTCTCCTGTGGTGATCCTATCTATTCTAATAATTTTATATGCCATCTCTTTGTTCACAAATTCAAAATGTATTTCAGCAGCCCAGGCCTCCCTTGAACTCTAAACAAAGATCTATCTATTTACTGCACATTTTAAGTCAGATGGATAAAACATTCCTCATACTCAACAATAAAAAACTGAATTCAAAATATTTTCTTGTTATATTTAAAGCCCACCTTTGCTCCATGGATGGCCAAAAATTTTGGAGTCACAATTATCTACTCTTCCTTTGTCACCTCATATGTGAAATATTAGCAAATCCTATCTTTTATACTTTTAAAATATATATAAGGTAGGTTCAACACTGTTATAGTTACCATCTATTTAGAGCCACCATTATCTCTCAAGACATCATCGATTCTTCTCTGCCTCCCTTTAATCTGTACTTAACAACATCTAGTTTTATTATTTATACATGTGAGTCATATATCCCTTTGGCTATTTTACCTTCTTCAAATCTTTGTTCAAATTTCATATTTTCAGAGAGGAGTAGACTAACTTTCCTATTTGATATTGCATGTGCCACTACTTTCCTGGCCCTTCCACTATTACTTAAGCCTGATCTGTGTTTTGTATTTTCTATAGCACCCACCAGTTTTTAATATAACATGAAATTGTCTTTTTTAAAGATCATCTTTTTTTAATGTTTTCCAGCTATTTTTCTTTTTTATTTATTTTTTTAATTTATCATACTTTCAGTTTGGGGTACGTGTGCACAACGTGCAGGTTTGTTACATAGGTATACATGTGCCATGTTGGTTTGCTGCACCCATCAACTCATCATTTACAATAGGTATTTCTCATAATGCTATCCCTCCACCAGTCCCCCACCCCCTGACAGGCCCTGGTGTGTGATGCTCCCCTCTCTGTGTCCATGTGTTCTCATTGTTCAACTCCCACTTATGAGGTGAGATCATATGGTGTTTGGTTTTCTCTTCTTGTGTTATTTTGCTGAGAATGATGGTTTCCAGTTTCAACCATGTCTCTGCAAAGGACATGAACTCATCCTTTTTTGTGGTCGCATAGTATTCCATGGTGTATATGTGCCACATTTTCTTTATTCAGTCTATCATTGATGAGCATTTGGGTTGGTTCCAAGACTTTGCTATTGTGAACAGTGCTGCAATAAACACATGTGTGCATGTGTCTTTATACTGGGATGATTTATAATCCTTTGAGTACATACCCAGTAATGGGATTGCTGAGTTGAATGGTATTTCTGATTCTACATCCTTGAGGAATCGCCACATTGTCTTCAACAATGGTTGAACTAGTTTACACTCCCAAGAACAGTGTAAAAGTGTTCCTATTTCTCCACATCCTCTCCAGCATCTGTTGTTTCCTGACTTTTTAATGATCGCCATTCTAAATGGTGTGAGATTGTATCTCATTGTGGTTTTGTTTTGCATTTCTCTAATGACCAGCAATGAAGAGCATTTTTTCATAAGTTTGTTGGCTACATAAATGTTTTCCTTTGAGAAGGGTCTGTTCATATCCTTTGCCCATTTTTTGATGGGGTTGTTTGTCCTTTTCTTGTAAATTTGTTTAAGTTTTTTGTAGATTCTGGATATTAGCCCTTTGTCATATGGATATATTGCAAATTTTTTCTCCCAATCTGTGGGTTGCCTGTTCACTCTACTGATAGTTTATTTTACTGTGCAGAAGCTCTTTAGTTTAATTAGGTCCCATTTGTCTATTTTGGCTTCTGTTGCCATTGCTTTTGGTCTTTTAGTCAGGAAGTCTTTGCACATGCCTGTGACCTGAATGGTATTGCCTAGATTTTCTTCTAGGGTTTTTATGGTTTTAGGTCTTATATTTAAGACTTTAATCCAGCTTGAATTAATTTTTGTATAAGGTGTAAGGAAGGGGTCCAGTTTCAGCTTTCTGCATATGGCTAGCCAGTTTTCCCAGCACTATTTATTAAATAGGGAATCCTTTCCCCATTGCTTGTTTTTGTCAGGTTTGTCAAAAATCAGATGGTTGTAGATGTGCGGTGTTATTTCTGAGGCCTCTGTTCTGTTCCATTGGTCTAAATCTCTGTTTTGGTACCAGTACCATGCTGTTTAGGTTACTGTAGCCTTGTAGTATAATTTGAAGTCAGGTAGCGTGATGCCTCCAGCTTTGTTCTTTTGCTTAGGATTGTCTTGGCAATGCGGGCTTTTTTTTGGTTCCATATGAACTTTAAAGTAGTTTTTTCCAATTCTGTGAAGAAAGTCGATTGTAGCTTGATGGGTATAGCATTAAATCTATAAATTTCTTTGGGCAGTGTGGCCATTTTCATAATATTGATTCTTCCTATCCATGAGCATGGAATGTTCTTTCATTTGTTCGTGTCCTCTTTTATTTCATTGAGCAGTGGTTTGTAGTTCTCCTTTAAGAGGTCCTTCACATCCCTTGTAAATTGTATTCCTAGGTATTTTATTCTCTTTGTAGCAATTGTGAATGGTAGTTTAGTCATGATTTGGCTCTCTGTTTGTCTGTTATTGGTGTATGGGAATACCTGTGATTTTTGCACATTGATTTTGTATACTGAGACTTTGCTGAAGTTGCTTATCAGCTTAAGGAGATTTGCGGCTGAGATGATGGGGTTTTCTACATATACAATCATGTCATCTGCAAACAGAGACAGTTTGACCTCCTCTTTTCCTAATTGAATACCCTTTATTTCTTTCTCCTGCCTGATTTCCCTGGCCAGAACTTCCAATACTATGTTGAATAGGAGTGGTGAGAGAGGGCATCCTTGTCATGTGCCAGTTTTCAAAGGAAATGCTTCCAGTTTTTGCCCATTCAGTATGATACTGGCTTTGAGTTTATCATAAATAGCTCTTATTATTTTGAGATACATTCCATCAGTACCTAGTTTATTGAGAATTTTTAGCATGAAGGGCTGTTGAATTTTGTCGAAGGCCTTTTCTGCATCTGTGGAGATAATCATGTGGTTTTTGTCTTTGGTTCTGTTTATGTGATGGATTACGTTTATTGATTTGCGTATGTGGAACCAGCCTTGCATCCCAGGGATGAAGCCAGCTTGATCGTGGTGGATAAGGCTTTTTGATGTGCTGCTGGATTTGGTTTGCCAGTATTTTTTGGGGATTTCCGCATCAATGTTCATCAGGGATATTGGCCTAAAATTTTCTTTTTCTGTTGTGACTCTGCCAGGCTTTGGTATCAGGATGATGCTGGCCTCGTAAAATGAGTTAGGGAGGATTCCCTCTTTTTCTATTGATTGGAATACTTTCAGAAGGAATGGTACCAGCTCCTCTTTGTACCTCTGGTAGAATTCAGCTGTGAATCTGTCTGGTCCTGGACTTTTTTTGGTTGGTAGGCTATTAATTATTGACTCAATTTCAAAACCTGTTGTTCATCTATTCAGAGATTCAACTTCTTCCTGGTTTAGTCTTCAGTGGGGGTATGTGTCCAGTAATTTATCCATTTCTTCTAGATTTTCTAGTTTATTTGCACAGAAGTGTTTATAGTATTCTCTGATGGCAGTTTCTATTTCTGTGGGATCAGTGGTGATATCTCCTTTATCATTTTTTATTGCATCCATTTGATTCTTCTCTCTTTTCTGCTTTATTAGTCTGGCTAGTGGTCTAACAATTTTGTTGATCTTTTCAAAAAAACAGCTCCTGGATTCATTGATCTTTTTTTTGAAGGGTTTTTTTTTGTGTGTGTGTCTCTATCTCCTTCAGTTCTGCTCTGATCTTAGTTATTTCTTGCCTTCTGCTAGCTTTTGAATGTGTTTGCTCTTGCTTCTCTAGTTCTTTTAATTGTGATGTTAGGGTGTCGACTTTAGATCTTTCCTGCTTTCTCTTGTGGGCATTTAGTGCTATAAATTTCCCTCTACAGACTGCTTTAAATGTGTCCCAGAGATTCTGGTACATTGTGTCTTGTTCCCATTGTTTTCAAAGAACATCTTTATTTCTGCCTTCATTTCACTGTGTACCCAGTAGTCATTCAGGAGAAGGTTGTTCAGTTTCCATGTAGCTGTGCGGTTTTTTAGTGAGTTTCTTAAGCCTGAGCTCTAATTTTATTGTGCTATGTATGGTCTGAGAGGCAGTTCGTTGTGATTTCTGCTCTTTTTCATTTGCTGAGGAGTGTTTTACTTTGAATTCTGTTGTCAATTTTAGAATCAGTGCGATGTGGTGCTGAAAAGAATGTATATTCTGTTGACTTGGGGTGAAGAGCTCTGTATATGTCTGTTAGGTCTGCTTGGTCCAGAGCTGAGTTCAAATTCTGGATATCCTTGGTAATTTAATCTCATTGATCTGTCTAACATTGACAGTGGGATGAAAGTCTCTCACTACTATGGTGTGGGAGTCTAAGTCTCTTTGTAGGTCTCTAAGAACTTGCTTTATGAATCTGGGTGCTCCTGTACTGGGTGCATATGTGTTTAGGATAGTTAGCTCTTCTTGTTGCATTGAATGATCATCTTTATTTTTTATTCTTCCACTGCCCTCCCCAAAACACGGTAAGCTCCATGGTTGCTTTTGTTCTTAACATTGGTATATCCCAAGTGTCTAGAAAGGTTTTTGTCAAAAATCAGATAAATAAATATGTCTACGTAAGTTAATAAAAGTACTGTAGTTCAAGTTGAAGGATGTAGCAAACTCTGTATTTAGAGTCTAACATTGCTATATAAATATGTATAATAAAAAAAGATAAAAATAGATGAAAGACTGTAAATACATGTAAATGTTAAACTCAATAATCCATAAAATAAGATAATGAAGTAAGTAAAAACACAAAAATCAATACAAAAGATCAAAACTAATTACCTGAAAATATTAACAAAATAAGTAAACTTCTTATAAGAAAACAATAAAATTGAGGGAGGTATTCATATATAGTACTAGGAAGGGAAAAAGGAAACATAGTTAGAGAGATAATATAGGTCACCAGAAGAGAATAATATTATGCACAATTTTATGCCAATAGTTTTTTGAAAATATAGACATTATGAAAATTTATTAATTTATTTTAAAAAAGATAATCTGACCATACCAACAGAACAGGCAATGAACAAATAATCCAAAATCTTTGATAAACAACGGCAAAAAAGCTGGTTTTATATAATTGAAAAGTTGAGTTTACTAAATATTTATGAAAATAAGTATCATTGTAAACTACAGTAGAAAAAAATATAAAGGTATTTGGGTCATTTTCTGAAGCTGATGCAACAGTCATAAATTGGCATCTTATAATATCAGAAAAATATAATGCTATTCTAATACTATTGTTTTTAAAATTAAAAGTAAATGACAGCAAAAAATAATCCAACCATGTGTAAAAAATAGTATGTTCCAAGCAGAATTCAAAAATGCAAGAATGCTTCAACCAAAAAAAAAAAAAAAAAACTAGATCGTTGATTTTAACTTAATCAGAAGAATACTGAAAAAACTGTTGCCATGAATGGAAAACATTTACAATATAAAGGTTGAGGCAGGTAGAAATAGAAGAGAATATCTTGCAAGTAAAAGAAAATCTATCAACAATTTCAGCAAATATAATACTTGTAGAATATCTTCTAGTTATAAAGAAATTCTAAAAGTAGATTAATGTCTAATTCAGGACAGCAGTACTTGTTCCTGAGCTACTTTTCATGTAAGCATAAAGATAAATATACTAAATTCATTTCCACAGAGGGACAAATGACTAATATATAGTATAGGGAGAGAAATGTGTGTCCTTGAGAAAATTAAATTGAGCTGTACACTATAACATAGATGCTAAAAGCATAATGATAGCAAAAATACTTAAAACACATGTATTATGAATCAATACAACCAAACATTAAAATAAGGATCTCCTAGATAAATTGAATGTTAACAACAGTTTGTTGCTTAATTGAAAAAATAATTGCTAAATAGAACATCATTTAAAAACATAGATACCATTAACTTTTTATTTCAAAAGTATCAATCTGTGTTCACTCATACACAGTTTGCTTTAGGGCTTAGTGGATTTTTTTCTTTCTTTGAATATGAGGTCATTGCTTGGAATTTCACTTAGACTTCTTTTCTGTTTCATTATAAACTGTATTATACATAATATTCAGCTTATTTTCTTTAGAGCAAGAATTTTTTTAAAATTCTACATCAGTGCAATCATAAAAAAGTCTTCTAGATTTGCATGTTTTCCCCCCAAATTCATAGATGTCTTTCTCACATTAATGTGTTTTTGGAATTTTCAAAATTTCAAATTTAGTTGTTAAAAAATACTTACTCTTACCTATAATATATACATACATAACAATTAAATTATATCAATCCAAAACAGGTACATATGGCATATATACATTTGGGATTAAAATATCCACTTCTTGATAAATATGTAATACATAATCGCATTTGGTGGGTGAAGTAGCATTAGCAGGAAGTACATTATGGACTGTGACATTCAATACCCTATGGACACCAGTATATTTTATAGGGAAAATTAGACTATGTGCTAATCTGTTGATAGGATAAATGATGACCAGTTAATAGAGCTTCTGCTGCATGCTACTGATGGATACATATATAGGTAGTGAATAAATGAATATACTGAATATATAGAGATAAGATTCATGAGAGTGTCTGCTTCTTTATAAGGCAAATTCATATATTCAGGGACCAAAAAGAGAAAGCTCAACTGTTTTACTAATTTTGAGTTTTCAAAAGAAGAAAAATAATAAAACAAATATGGAAAAATGTCAATATTCTAAAATTATAGTTAGTGAGAACATGGATTTTTAAAATTCTATGTTCTTAATTTTCACCAAAAGAAAAAAAAAAGAAAATCTAAATCACTCATAAACCTACTATTTGGAGATTAAACATAATTAAAGTTTTGGAATATATTCCTTTTATGTTAGAGACAATTTTTAAAGAATACATTTTGTTTTTCTCACTTTGTATTACATAGATTATATTTTTCTCATGCCATTGTAGGTCATTAAAACTTAATTTTAAATTTTACTTGGTTACTAGCTCAAGAAAGTTTCCCTTAAAGCACAAATGACACGATAACAGAAACAAGATTTTACTGTCCTTAAAATTGACATCAGGCAAGGAGAATCCTGAGAAACCCATGGGTAAACAAAGTCATTTATGAATCAAAACTCAGGTGCCATTCCTAAGAGACAGGACTGTAAGTCTTACAAGATTCGTATTATCTGGCCATGAATTTGTAGGACTATTTCCAAAGTAGTTAAGGTAATATGTTGTAAAGACCTTGCTAAATCTTTACATCATCTGCATGCAAGAGCGCAAACTATCTCCAAAGAGTCCATTCCAATCCCCAGCACTCTAGCAACAAGTTACAGTTTTTACTAATCATACTTATTATATTCATGATTTTAATTAGTGAGGTAGAAAAATGGTAATTAAGATATGAGTAATAAAAATGATTATAATAGCCATGCCTCTAGTGGGGACTATCTAATATAATGTGATCTGACTTCCTATGTAGTGTGGATGATCAGGGCATTTCACTGCCCCTAGATGTGAAGCTTAAACTACAGTAAACTAACAGTTAATTCACCTTCTCTTTTACACAGACATTATATTATTTCCAATTACAAACAATGCTCCAATGACAACCTTGCTCAAATGTATTTTCATCATATAAGAAAGGCATCTTCAGGTTAGATTTCTAAAAATAAGATTTCTGGGGCAAAAGTTCAGTTCCTAAGTAGTTTTGTTAGGTATTGTCAAATTCCCTCCAGAAAGGTTGTGCCAGTTTGCATTTCTACCAGTAATACGGAATATGCGTGATAGCACAGCGTCACCAACCATGTTTTCACACTTATAAAATTGTTCCAATATGATGCTAAGAAGTAGTATCACATTGTTGTTTTAACTGTATTTATTTAAATATGAGTAAGTTTTTAAATGTTTTCATATTTTCAAAATCTATTTTTATACCTTTATATTAAATTGCCCATGCAAATTTTTTCTTTTGTTTGCAATCAAAGTTTTCTTCCTCTTTAGATTTCAGGCCACATGTAATGCTTGTATGGTTTCATTTTTACATTTATATTTCTAATCTAACAAAATTTTTTCTTTGCACACAATGTGAGATATGGTTTCTTTTCATACTACAAATGATGATAAAGTTACCCAAGCATTTTAATAAAAATCTGTTGTTGACATCTGCTATCTGTTCAGATTTGTAGACACCTAGAAAGAGTATTGCTTATAATCTTACAAGGAAAAAAAAGTCAAACTATAAATTCACAACTTTCCTTAAACCTGAAATTGCAGAACAATGAACTGGCCTGAAATCTAAAGACATGCCTGCAGGAAGAGACTAAACACAAGTAATGGCCTCTGAGGACATTGGATACTGAGCAGAAGATTGGTGGACATCAGGAGTGGATTGGTGAGGGAGCGTGAGGCCCCTGGAGGCTACAGAAATTGGGAAAGTCCATATCCTCTTGAGAGTTTTCTCCATGAACCCCATCAAGTACTCACAAAATTTATTGGATAAAGCCATAGGAAAAGGTCCTTTATGGTGTAGACCTAAAGAACAGATGCAATGGTAGGATGGGCATGCAATTCCATTTGTATTTTTCTCCACTGTCTCCCTTCTGAAACATAAGCTTTAACATGTGGAGGTAAAACCAACAAACATTGTCACCATTAGGGCACTGAAGTAAACATACTGCATCTGAATGAAGAAAATCAATCAATCAAACAAACAAAAATTTCCCCTGGAGGAGGGATAAAAATACAATGTGGGCTGGGAAATACACCTGCAAAGGGGTAGAAGCACTGAGAATAGATAGCTGAGACACAGAGGCTTTGTGCTTGTCCAAGATAAAACTTAAATTAGAAAAGAGTGAATTCTCTTCTCAACACCAGGCTAACAAAAGTTGGATACTGTATTATTCAGTGTTATCCAGAGCAACAGAGCCTGCAGAGTCTGTACATATAGAGAGAGTTTTATTTTAAGCTATTGGCTCACACGATTTATAGAGGCTGGCAAGTCCACAATCTGCAGTTCAATTTTGAAGGCCATCAAGCTGGAGACTTAGGGAAGAGCAGATGTTGAGGTTCAAGTCTGCAGGCTATTTGCTGGCAGCACTCCCCCTTGCTCTGGGGCAGGTCAGTCTTTTGTTCTATTCAGTCCTTCAACTGATTGGATGAGGCTCCCCACAGAATGGAGGGAAATCTGCTTTACTCAAAGTCTACCAGTTTAAATGTTAAATCTCATCTATAATTATCCTCACCAAGACCTCCAGAATAATGTTTGACTATATGTCTGGGTACCATAATCTAGACAAGTTGACACATAAAATTAACCATTACTAATACCAATGTATAGATATACTGCCAAAGGTAGACAATATACAAACAAACAAGCACAGAAACACATTTTCTTAAAATCCTGGAGTAAATAAAATCCCACTTTAGGCAAAAGATATTTTTAGAAGAACCTGCCCCTTGTGGTGCATTGAAAGTAATTATGGTAAAAACCAACCTTAATTCAAGCCCAACCCCTAATTAGATCGGCTCAAACCCCTACACTAGAAACATAACAAACAATAACAAAAATGGCATAAAAACTGAGCAGGACTAAAGCAGTAACACATTTCAAACCCAGTCTAACTTCCAACTAAATTAACTCAAACAACTGTATTAAAGCCCTAAAGGAAGGAAAAGCATGGCCAGGTTTAGGAAGAAAATAGCTTTATTCCATCCCCACTTTCCTACACAGGATGTCCAGCTTTTGATAAAACCAATAAGATAAGGAAATATAAGAATGATTAAACAAAATATTCCCAAGACACAAAGCAAACATCGAAGCTAGCCACAGATGTGACATAGGGGAGATCTAGCAATGTCTGCTAATGTTTTTCAGTTGCTTCTCCTCTGCTTCACGTAGCACTGTGAGTGAAGCTTCTCAGAATTCTCCCCAATCTTGGTGGGGTTCCTGAAAGATTATCTTGCCACTGGGTAAAACCACTTTTTTCGTATCTGTGGTCCCAGAATCATCATAATTACACATTAGCCAAAAACTGGCCTTTAGCAATTCATTGAAAATTTATAGTTTAATCTTCTTCCTAGCTTATATAGCACTTAAGGGATATAATGGCACTCAGTGATGTCTTTCCAGGAATGGAAATGCTCAGATCCTCTTTCTTCCTGCATGTGCTTGTCTCTCATATTTCAAGTTACTTGCTTGCCCAGCTACCTGAGTTTTCGAATGAATTAAGGTAAAGTTCTTAACTTGTCTAGCTTTTCCTTGTAAGTGTAGAGTGGTGCTCTTTGAAGTTCTACATCTTGAACTAAAAGCAGGATTTATTTAATTACATTTTTTAATGTTGGATACAAAATTCTACATGGAGCCTAAGGTGGTGGCATGCGAGGCTGAGGTGGGAGGATGATGTGAACCCAGGAATCTGAGTCCAGCCTGGTCAATATAGCAAGACCCTTTCTCTGAAAAAAAATTCTTTCTACATTGTTATTTATTTTTTCTTTCATCAGATTACAGAAATCATTTATTGTTTTCTAATTTCTATGATTTCTGTTGAAAAGTCATTTGTTTTGTAGTTTTTGTCCCTCTAAAGTAAATATATAATTTGCTGGCTATTTAAAATAATTCTTCTCTTTGTCTTCCATTTTATGCCGTTTTATTCTGATTTGGTAAGATGTAAATATTTTTGTCTTTATATTAATTTGATTTCACAGAGCTTCTTGAACCTGGGGCTTGATTTCTTTTTCAACTTTGGTAAATAAAATATTTATTAAATTATTGCTTTTGCCTTTATTCCTCTTTCAGAATCTTCAATTACACATTTAGTAAACATTTTTATTTTGCCCCATATGTGTCCTTTTTGATTTTTTTTTCTAGTACCTAGACCTTTTCTGACATGTCCGTATTTTTTAGCTATTTCCCAATGATTTTGATCTCCTTCTTTAATCTTGATCTATTGCCTATTTTGCGTGATCTTTGGTTAAGCCCATCTACTGATTTATAATATTAATTATCCTATTTTTGAGATCTATGACTTAAGTTATTTTTAATCATTCTAATACTTTGATGAAATTCTCTTTATTCATTTTTTTCAAACATATTAATGATAATTCCAATAAAATTCTTGCATGATAACTTCTTCATCTTGATCTGCTCTGCATGTTTATATAATCTGTCAGTTACTTTGGTTTTTATTACTTTTATTCTTAAATCTGGAATGCCTGGTAATTTCAAATTAAATTTTGTACTTTGTAAGTGAAATCATACCTTTTCCTTCTGAAGACAATAGACTTGTTCCACTAGGTGCACAGAATATGAGCAAATCATTTTAATTCAATTAAAACTGTCTATTCGTTAGTATCAGAATCTGCTGATGCTACAAATGAAAGTCTGGTGTGTTTTCCAGGACACATTTTCTTTAGGTGATACTGAACTCCAATTTTCTCCACAGTACTTTGATGTTGAATACTTTTCTGATTAATTTTTTAGCCATAGAGCTGCAGTTTTTTGTGTTGTTTGTCTCCTTTTGCACCCTGCACTTGCCCTTTAGGAGTTATTAAATGCCTTAATGGCATATATTGCTTATAAAATATTAGGTTCATGCATGTTTCATAGCTTTTTTTCATGGTTATAATGTCTCAAGTCATGGCAGCTTGGTCCTGCCTGGTCTCTATGTAATTATTTTCTCTCTAGCCCTGCAAGAACTCCTCAGACTCTAGGCAACCACTTTCTTTTCAATCTCTAGGCATTTTCCAGGAATGAGCAAATTATCAAATGCTCTAAGGATTAATGCATTGATGAACCTGGGATTTCTTCAGCTTCCTTATCTGTTCTTTGAGATCTCAGCCACTTGATTTATGGCTGATTTTGATATTTTCTGACACCTTTGAAGATCTGTTTATTTTGAAACTTTTAACCTAGATTTTATAATTATTAATGGTGGGAGGTTAAGTCTTACATTTCGTTAAAGACACTGATAATGTCAATTATTTTCCTTTTGTTTGTGTTATTAAAATTTTGTTCTTGGGCATGAGATTGCTTGTTACCTGAATTTGTTATATTATCGCTATCTCATGCTGCTTTCTGTCATTAAGTTTTGGTGATTTTCAGCTGAATGCATATTTTATATTTTTAACCTGTTCATAGACACTTATTGGTTTACAGTACAGTTTTCCTTTGCTGCTCATTACTGGAGGTGATATATGTATGTGTGGAGAGGTGAAGACTGGGGCTTATGCCAAAGATGATATATTCCATCTTACCTCCAATGCTTATGAGTTCACTGCTGAAGAGTGTACTTGAGTATTTAATCATTTAGAATCTTGTTTTTCTCATGACTGCCAAATATAACCAAGCCTATGAGTGAGTTCTTGTCCTCTTAACCACAAATCTAAGTCATTGCTCATGACAGACAGAATAAACCTACTATTCTTATATCCTTGTTCTGGGAGGAGTTGGGCACTGAAAAAGGATTGACTTGTGAGAATGATCTTATTATTTAAAAAACAAATTGTTAGTTTCTGTAGTGGGCTCAACATTGGTCCCCCTATAAGATATATCCACATCCTCATTCCTGAAATCTATAAATATTATCTTATTTGGAAAATGGGTATACAAGGTGTAATTATGTTCAGAATTTTTAGATGATGATATAATTCTGAATTATCCTGAATATATCTACAAGTGTCCTTAGACACAGACAGAAGAGGACACAGATACACACAGGAGACAGTAATGTAAAGCCATAGGCAGAGATTGAAGTAATGTGGCTACAGCCAAGAAATGTTAAGGAATGCTGACAGCTACCAGAAGCTGGAAGAGGCCAGGACCGTATTCTTCCCTACAGCCTTTGGAGGAAGTGCAGCCCTGCCAATACCTTGATTTTGAACTTCTGGTATCCACAACTATGAGAGAGTGTATTTCTGTGGTTTTAAGCCCCCATGGTTGGAGTAATTTATTATGGCATCCGTAGAAAACACTTACCTTCCTCTCTCTGGAAGATATTGTTACCAAAACACCAGGGGTTTAGTCTAGGTTCTTCTGTTCCCCACACAGAGTGCCCAATGACTGAGACAATGATTATTGACAAGGAAGAAGGCTTTAATTGGGTGCTGCAGTCAAAGAGATGGGAGATCAGTCTCAAATTCATCTCCCTGGCCAATTAAAATGAGGAGTTTTTATAGTAGGGAAGAAATGTAGCTATCTATTGGAAAATAGGAACTTGGGATGGGTAAGGAAACAATCATAATGAATGAGGGGCCTGGCATCTCATTGTCTGGATGTGGTGAGTTTCAAGCTTTAAGACCAGAATGGTCAATTTCTATGTTTATCAAAACAAACGAACAAAAAAAACACCTGTCTATGAGACTACTGGGTCAGTTTCAATATCACTTCTAGTTTTTTAATTTTATGAACTTTTTTTTCAGTTTACTGTCCTATTAGTTTGAGAATTTTGTTAACTTCTTTACTATTATTCAGTCCACTTTCCACCTTCACAGATACCTCATGAAATCTGGTTCACTAAGCCTTACATAGAGACAGAGGAGTGATAATGTTCAATCCACTAACAAACTAATCTCCATCATACTCTTATTATACTAATTCTAACTAATTTAATTAAACAATTAATACATTAAAACAAAATTTGTTAGAAGCACTTTTAATTTTTATTTTCAATATTTGCTCAATTTAACTTTGGTTCATTTTACTTTTGGTTGAATCAAATGAACCTGTTGGTTTATTTTACTTTTGGTTATTATAAAGGCATAAAATAAACACTACAACTAATTTTTTATTGCAGTATACCTTCTTTTTTATTTGTAATTCATATTCAAGTTACTGAAAATATGTATAATAAAATGAAAAATGTAGATATTAAAGAACATTGTGGATAAATGTGATAGATATCTGGTTATCAACTTAAGAAATATGTCTGGAAAGTGAGATCTAATGTAATTGATATAAAAATATTAGCAGATAGCATTAAAGTTTACTCATATTACCTTAATTGCTGATGCAAAAACAATGGATAAAAATTAAAGCAGTAAGTTATTTTCACAAATTCTAGGGGAATTTGCATTTTTTAGACCTTTTTAAAATTTCATTTTATACACTGGAGTTTTGAGGTCTTTGGTTTTTAAACACATGACAGATAGTCATTAGCCTAAGAAAAATGTGCTCTTCAACTATAACAGGGTGTATTGCACACTCTGAGATTTATCATCATCTACTGGTATTTTACACTTCTGTTAGAGGTTTAAAGTGTGGTTATTAACACTTGTATTATAAACTTTGAAGAAGCTCCTAGGGTACTTCATCAGTTAGGCAAGTTGAAATAGTAAATAATTCAATTGCTGGGATAGAAAAGACAAGCTCCTTTCATAGACTTTAAGAATCGAAACAAAATTGTTGTCCTCATGTTAGAAGTTTAAGTCTCATAATTAAGCTCCTCGCCCTATGACCATGGATGCTGATTGTCCAGTTGATGTTGAAAGCAGCTGCTGATTCATAAGATCCAGGTGGCACAGAGTGGAGTCCTATAATGAAAACTGGTAAAAGACTCTGCCTGCTTCAGGGTATTAAAACCATACACTAACATAAATTAATGATTCATAACTATTCTAAATGGTTAAATGTGTAAAAAGTAACAGTTTTAATATGAAAAAATGATTGTGATTATGCTATTCTCTGGCCCTTTTCTTAACCCTTGGGGATTTCCATAAAAGCTACAGAGATATTGTTAAGTGAAAGTTTATAATCACTTCAGCAGAGATAGAGAATAAAATTCCATTAGCCCTATTACAAAAAAGGCTTTATGCCACATTAGAATGAATTAACACGCTTTAAAATTGAACTTCAAAGAACTTGTTTTTGAGAAGTATAAGTTCATTAAACAAACATTTGGCAATCTTAACTGTAAATACTTTCCTGATAAATTTTAATTATTCTGGAAAAACATGCTTATGGACAATTTTCCTAGAAGCCTGGAGCTTCTCATATATAGTGGTCAAGGACACACAAATAAACCTCATTTCATAAAGTTACTACTTGAAAAACTGGAATAGATGATAGATATCAACTGTTGAAAATTGAACATGAAAGTCTCTACACATAGATCATTGAATTTTACATTTCCTTTTATTACAAAAATAAGAAACCCTAACTGAATCCTTACTTGAGGCATATTATAGTAACTTAGAAATTAATTCCACACAACAGCTCCTAAGTTTTAGGCATCAGTAGGTCTTAATCTGACAGGTCACATACATGATTTTGCCCCTGGTACTCCAATTTTCTTCCTAGCTGGAGTTAATACAGTGTAGCAGCTTTACGCTAGCAATAAGTCCATAATGAGCTTGGTAATGAGGTTCCAGTAGGTGAGCTGTGCTACACTAGCTCTCATGTATCTAAACCAAACATACAGGTCAACGCTGGTGTTTTGCTGTGCCCAGTGCTCCTTTCTGCCTGCTGTTTATGCAGCTAATAGTCCTTTCAGACTTTGTATTTCTCTAGTCCCCAAACTGACTGTTGCTCATCTAAGTGCTTTAGTCTTCAATATATTTTGCAGCTCCCCATGGGCTATAAATACTTAAAATGAAGCTTAGATGTGGGAACATTTACAAATAAACCCCAAGTTAAAGTTTTATATTTCGTTTTTCAAATATGAGAGAGCTGTTTACAGACTTGCAATATAGACTGTAGATCAGGAGGCCCCATCCGCCAGGCCACAGACTGGTACTGGTCTGTGGCCTGTTAAGAACTCTGCTAGGTAAGCCGAGCGAGAGAAGCTTCCTCTGTATTTACAGCCACTCCCCATTACTTGCACTACTGACTGAGCTCCACCTCCAAGTCAGATCAGCAGTGACATTAGATTCTCACAGGAGTGTGAACCTTACTGTGAACTGCACATGTGAGGGATCTAGATTGCATGCTCTTTATGAGAACCTAATGCCTGATGAACTGTCACTGTCTCCCATCATCCCCAGATAGGACCGTCTAATTGCAGGAAAACAAGCTCAGGGATCTCACTGATTCTACATTATAGTGAGCTGTAAAATTATTTCATTATATATTGCAATGTAATAATAATATAAAGTGCACAATAAATGTAATGCACTTGAATCGTCTCGAAACCATCCCCCAACCCTGGTCTGTTGAAAAATTGTCTTTCAAGAAACCAGTCCCTGGTGCCAAAAAGGTTGGGGACCGCTGACGTAGACCATATGTCAGAAATTACATGCTTGTTGTGTAGTAAAAAATCGTTAAGTGTTGATGATAGTTTATTGTTATCATAGTTATATTACTGGATTAGTGCTATTTAGATATTTAATATTTAAAGAGCTTAATAGATTAATGATATTTTTAGAAAGATAATGTTATTAGCACTTTTTGATAATATAATCATAAGTATTTATCATTTCGATAGACTTTAAAGTTTGTAAATAGACTTTTCATTAACATTGTTATATATAGTAGAATTGGGGGAGTTTATTTTAGCAAAAATTGGCTGAAATACTTGCATTTTTTATCATAAAGATTTTGTAATGCTAAAAAATAATGTGTTCCAACTAAGCTTTCTTTTATTCTTAATTACGAGTTCATTGTAGCTTTTGTTATTTTTGGTTTTAATACCTTTTTTGCTAACCATTTTTATACAATTTCTTCTAATAATTTATTCAATTTCTTCTTTTTTAATGCTCAATTGCTTTAATATTCCACTCTTATGCTAGTTTCTCTGCTACTCTAAGTATCTTATGTAGTCAATTAATTAATTTAAAAATCTATGTCAGCAAAGCATAAAGTGTAGAACAATTTAACCAAATGCAATTAAAAAATAACTAGGCATGCCACTAAATCTACAGTTGATAATAGGATGAGAAAAATGCACAATAGATGCTGACATGGAAGTTAGATGAAAACTTTGAATGGCACGTAAACCACAAAGGTGCATTTTCATTTCACAAGCAAAGTCTCATTTGGAATTACACAGCAGAGCTCATTTTTATGTAATACATCATATTGCATAGAATTGTTTTCACACTGATTTCCATGATTCTTTTCAACATTCTTTTTAGACTCATCAGTGCACATACTCTCAAATAATCTGGTTAAACTTGTCTTATCTAAAATTCTAATGTTACTTGAAATAAAGTGGAAAGAACAACTCTGTGTTTACACTTCAAACTGTGTCTTAAAGTACACCCCAAAGCTAGTTGTTCCATATTGTAATACACAGGTTTTGCTTCAGAGGCTGATTACTTTTATTGATTAACATTGCATTTGATTTATTAGCTTTTGCCTGCTTAGAGAATGCCTGATTTTTTTCAGGAATAAGGTGAAGCTTATTGAAAAACACTTGCCAAACTGTGTCTACTAAAGCGTAACAAAAAAGAAGTTGCTTCCCTTCTAGTTCAATATGGCTGAATGAGCAGTTGGATGAACAAATAAAAATCTTTGTTCTGGAAATACTAAGTATAAGCTAAACTGTAAACCCTACAATTATGTGTGTGTGCGTGTGTGTGTATACACTATGGTAGTGATGCTCATAGAATCTAAAAAATGTAGCATTTAAGATAGGCTGGGAAAATAATCATGTAGAAAAATTGCAGTTATTTTGTCTTTTTTAGGTTGACAAATTTGCAGCTTCGATTGCTATTTTTCTACATTCTTACATATTTTTCAGTCTATATATTTAGAAAAAGCTATGTATAAAGATAATAGCATCCAACAAAATCTGTGTTGTTCTAATGCATAACTGAAATTTTCAACTGTGTAATTACTATAAAGGAAACTGTGTGTCTTTAAAATCACTTCAGAGAGGAATATAAATTGAGTTTCAGAAGACAGTGCAAGACTCCGTCTCAAAAAAAAAAAAAAAAGATATGTTAGTTTAATTTGTACAAGGTTATAAAAACAGTAAGAAGTATGGACAGGACTCCTAATACCCATGCAATTAACGAGTTATTTTTACAAGTGATAGCATACCTAATATAAGTACCCCACACTATCTATAGGCAGTGAATTACAAGGGACACTATTACAAAATTGTGTTGTATGTCTTCTATAAGGTGATGATTGTCTATTATCTTCCAATTAGAACAGTTATAGTCTCTGAGAAAGAATTTACAGAATCAATACAAAAACAGCAACAGCAATTATATCTCCATGTACAGGTAAAAAAATAACTCTTTTCAGTTAAAAGATCAAAGAAAATTATAAATTAGATTTACAATGAAAGGGAATGGACACGTACACTGATCCAAATGATTTGGAAAATAAAATCTTAATAAATAATTATTGGTAAAGAATGTAGAAAGAAGTCAGATATCAGTATCTTCAAAATATTTAAATATCAATTTTTTTAAGCTGGGAAAAAACCCACAAAACAGGCTAACATACATACTTACCCGTATTAGGAAAAGAATTTAAGGGCAATTTGATACTGTGAATATTGCAAACAAGAGAGCAAGTAAACTTCCACTTACAGCTATATAAAACTGGCTGGTAGGACCTGATGCTCTAAAAAGGAAAATGTTATTAAAATTCAAGTAGAATCAGAAATTGATATTCCAGTAAGAAGGGGAAAGAAAACAATATAAACTTCATTTTTTTTGCTATTTTTCTCTAGAGGCATTTAGCATAAGGTCCTGAAGAGGTAAAGGTCCTGAAGAGCTATGTAGAAAACCATAACTAAGAGAATATGGAATACAACAGTGTTTTCTTCCATCAGAGCTAAAGAACAAATGTTAGAGTTCAGGATCATGAAAGTAGACAGAAATTGAGTTTATAAGATCACAGAGAAAACTGAAATGCAAATGAGCCTTACATCTTGCATCACTCTTTCCTTCCAGGGTATTTTTGTTCTTTGAACACAGCATGAAAAAAGGCTAATAACTAAGCAAATAAGTAGTGGCTAAGCGTCTCCGAGGCTAAAACAGCTTTGGCAGGTTATTATGGAGATCACTGTCCACCACAGATGGAGGATCTCTAAAAAACACTGTAGGGTTTTAGTATAGGCTCTGAAGTGAGACAAACTAAAGAAAGAACAGTTTGGAAATTGCTCATCAAAGTAAAATAAACCTGAGAATCACCACAATACAAGTCGAATTAAGATCACCTGCCCATTTTTTAATGGCTTCCAGAAGCAAAATAACCACTCTTGCCAGGAAAGTGACACCATTTCGAGTCTCCAGCTTTTTTTTTCTGTGTCTGTGTGTGTGTGTATTTATACAAATATACATTCAATGCAAAATGAGGGTCACATCAGGAGATAAAATCAAAATTCACCAAAAAAAAAAGACTCCTGAATGACACGGATATCAGTATTGTCAAAATGTTTAATTTACAACTGTAAGGTCAAGAATATAAATAAAATAAAGCAAAATTTCGGCATTGAATTGAAATTTATAAAAAGAATGAATGAACTTCAAAAAACATAAAATGTAGTTTAAATTATGAACTCAGTAGATGTGCTTAACAACAGATTAGAGGCAACTAAAGAGACAATATATTAACAGAATTATTTATCAATAGAAAAATGCAGTTTAAAGCAGATGGACAAAATCATAAGAAATAATGAATGGGAAGTTTGCAAAACTAAAAAATAATTGACAAAATACATCCATCTACAAAGACTTCAGAAATTCTACAAAACACAATTGGATAGATGAAATAAAATCACACTTAGCGGCCAGGAGCGGTGACTCACGCCTGTAATCCCAGCACTTTGGGAGGCCGAGTCGGGCGGATCACGAGGTCAGGAGATCAAGACCATCTTGGCTAACACGGTGAAACTCCATCTCTACAAAAAAATACAAAAAATTAGCCGGGCGCGGTGGCTGGCGCCTGTAGTCCCAGCTACTCAGGAGGCTGAGGCAGGAGAATGGCGTGAACCCGGGAGGCAGAGCTTGCAGTGAGCCGAGATCCCGCCACTGCACTTCAGCCTGGGCGACAGAGCGAGACTCCGTCTCAAAAAACAAAATACAAACAAACAAAAAATCACACTTATCATAACAAAACTGTTGGAGGAGAAAGACAAAAATCCTAAAAGTAATAGAAACCTACAATTTACATTTACTGAAGTGACAAAATAACTCAGTCATATTCACAAGAGAAATACTGGTTTGTCATTTTCTAAGTACTGAAAGAAAATAACTACCATTATAGCATTTTATTTCCACTGGGAAATATCCTCCAGGAATACTGATAAATAAAATACATTTTCAGACAAACAAATTGGAGAGCCCCTTTACCTGGAGCCAACACTAGGATAAAGTGGCGGGGAATTTCTGACTTAAATCTTTTATGAGGCTGTATTCAGAAATCATCCAGGGTTAGAATTATATGAAGGCTGAAATGGGGCTGGATGATTTGATATCAAGGTGAATCACTCCCACAGGCTTGAGAGTTGGTATTGATTGTTGATTAAATACTTCAGTTGTTCTTGATAGGTTCTCTCTATGAGACAGCTGGAGTGTTGTCATAGAATGACAATTGGATTATTCTAGACTGAACAAAGCAGGAGTCTAAAGGCTTATCTTTTATGGCTGGCATGCCTTTTGTGGCTTGTTCTTAGAAGTCACACACCATCATATATACAGTATTCTATCAGTCACAAGGGCAACCCTTGTTTCAGTGTAGAAGTGGACTACGTAAGGACATAATACCATTATGGTATTATGGCAAGAATCATTGTGTTCTATGTTTCAGGCTGGCTCCCAGATGTATCTAAAAAATGAAAGCAAGGAACAAAAAACTTTGCTATGATTTATAATTGGAAAAATGCAAATTAAACTACACTGTGGTTTAATTTCTCACTTTTCACCTATCAGATTAGTACAAAACTGTATGATGACAGTCTGAGCGTGAATCTGTGGATAAAACATTGCTCATATGCAATTCTAACTGGAGAGAAATCTGGCAATATCCCACAAAAGCACATTAACATTTAACCTTTGGCCCAGCAAACCTATTTCTATGAATTAAGGCTAATGATACATCAACAACAACTAAAATATTCATGTAGTATTATGTGTAACTAAAAGAAGATAAAGGAAAAATAAAACACTATGCCCATAAACAGAACAGTGAATGAATAAATTAATACATCCATATAATGAAGCATTTTGTATCTGGGAAAAGTGGTAAAGATCTCCTTTTATAAGCAGTATGTGGCCCTGATTCATTATTTTTCTACAGAACAGACATTTTTCATTTTTTTAGAATATTTACATTTAAATGCAGAAGTGATATTGGCTTACAGTAGTAAGATTAGCCAGTTTGATATTGAGATTTTTCTAGTCTTTTAATAATGGCTTGAAGAGCTTTTTATTTTTGCCTGTGCTTCAAAACAATATCTGTCCCTTATAGGTTTTAAAAAATGAACGTTATAGATATCTGATAGGATTTTTTAAGATTTGCGTTTCCCTTGTTAGACAAGAGTTTTTTTTTTTTCTTGTTTTTCTTTCAGGAAAAGGTTTTATTAAATTTCCTGCTGGAAAGGCCTTTGGTATGTTATTGTGTTTATTTTATTGAAAATTTCCTTTTTGATTGCTTTTTCATCAGGGAATGATATATTTCTATTTCAGCAAACTTATTGATGTTCTCTATCATGTAATATATAGCCATTTTAAAATATTGATGTACATTTGATAAGGTGACACATCCTCTATCAGCATGTATATCCAATGCATATTGTAAGTCTGTCTCATTTATCATCGTGTTTAATTCTTCTATGTCTCCATTGTTTGACTCCCCACTCTTATTCTTCTCTCTCCCACCTGAAAGTAACCACTATTCTACATTTTAGGAGTTTCCTCCTTATTCATGTTTTATAATTACACTATAAATTTATTTATTATATGAGTTATAATTCATTTATTCATTATACAATTCATAAAATGTATAATAAATAGCCTTGTCCAAGTTTTCCTATATAGATTGGTTAAAATTTTTCCAAGTTTTTCAAGATTTCCTGAAAGTAGAATGGCTGAGATATGCAGATTTAAATTTCATTAGAAGTGTAAATTATTATTTATTTGTCCTATTTTATTTCCTTCATAAGGTAATAGTTCTAGCTGCAGTCAGACTTTAGAGTTATTTTTTTTTCATTTATTCCTATGTTGTTTGTAGTTATAAAAGGGCATTGACACATTTAGTGTAATGATCTTTCAGAATGTGTATACTTTTAGAATTCTATTAGTTAAAGTTTCTATGTAGACATTGACTTTATTGATATTCAATCCTAACTTTTGTGAATTTTATTTATTGCTTTCTAACTTTATACTATTTTTTGTTGTTTCATTATGTTAGCTAGAATCACCAACGAAATTTTGACTCGAAACTCTGGTAATTCCTATCTTAATCCTAATGTTTTAATCAGAATGAAAATGGTCCTAATATTTCAACATTAAATAATATGATTACTAGAGGTGTTATGTAGATGTTTTGGTTGGTTACCAAAAGTCCCTATTATTGGCATATTTTAAGTGTTTTTAATATGGACAAAGAGTAATAGTCTGTTAATATTCATATGTATAGTAATAGTTTTTCTTAATATTATATCACTCACGCTCTTCAAATTTAAAACCTACTTGGTCACAATGTATTTTTTTTTTTTTTTTTTTGAGACGGAGTCTCACTCTGTCGCCAAGGCTGGAGTGCAGTGGCACCATCTCGGCTCACTGCAAGCACCATCTTCTGGGTTCACGCCATTCTCCTGCCTCAGCCTCCCGAGTAGCTGGGACTACAAGCGCCTGCCACCATGCCAGGCTAATTTTTTTGTATTTTTTTTTGTAGAGATGGTGTTTCACCATGCTAGCCAGCATGGTCTCGATCTCCTGACATCGTGATCTGCCCGCCTCAGCCTCTCAAAGTGCTGGGATTACAGGCATGAGCCACTGCGCCCGGCCCACAATGTATTCCTAATAGAGGCAGGAGGCAGACAAATGCCCAGGTAGATAAGGAAGGGTCCCTGGAGAATCTCCAACCTGCCCAAGTGTTACATCAAATGTTTTGTGCAGATAAGGGAACCTACCCAGGGGGTTTTCCTAGGCATGCCTGCAGGGACTGGAGGGCCACATGCACTGAGGGAATGTGGTGGAGCCAACCTGCATGCAGGACCCCTCTCTTTTCCTTTCACCCAATAAATTCTGCCCTCTTCACCCTTCAATGTGTCTATGTGCCCAATTTTTCCTGGTCGCGAGAAAAGAACCTGGATTTAGCTGAACTAAGGAGCAAAAAATTATCCTGCCTCTATCATTATTTTATTTGCACATTGATGAATTAAGTATACTCATATTTTAATGAATATATGACTGTTTCATACAGACTTTTTGGGAATATTGCTATCAACATTATAAACGATGTGAGAGGTTTAAGAAAAATTATATAAGATATGGCATATCATTTCCTTGAAGGTTTGGTATAATTCATTTAAAAACTGTGCTGTTGGCCAGGCGCAGTGTCTCAAGCCTGTAATCCCAGCACTTTGTGAAGACAAGGCAGGTGGATCACTTGAGGTCAGGAGTATGAGACCAGCCATGGTGAAACTCTGTCTCTACTAAAAATACAAAAATTAGTTGAGCATGTTGGCATGCACCAGTAACCCCAGCTACCAGGCAATATGTAATCACTTTATAATCACATATTTAAATTAAATATTTTAATTTGCCAGAGAGATAATTTAGGACCATTCAAAGGATTTTTAATTCATCCAACCTAGTACTTGATGAGTTGTTACACATCATTTTTCAGCTTTTATGACCATTAATTGGTATAAAGACATGGAGTGTTAATTTTAAAAGTAAAGTTTTACTTTTTTTTTCCAATTTTATAAAACTAAATATATACCCAAACTGATAGATAACAGCTTCGAATAATCTTTATAAGAAGAGCTGTTTTAGTGAAAATTAGATATTAGTTTTTCTTTTAAACTGACAATTTTTAAAAATATTTAATTAATTATACAGTATTTTTGACCACAAAGATTTTTCACCATTGTCACTGTTATTATATAATAAAGATTATGAATAAATTTTAATAACCTTGGGTTATAAAATTATTTACTATTTACAAAACCAAAAATAAAATGACATATATTGCAATATTTAATTCAATGGGAATAAAAACTTTGATTAGGAAAATCCCCATCTAAATATGCAATTCAAGTAGCAACCTCTAGCTTCTTAAGTTAAATAAAAAATTACCTTCTGTTTTTATAAGCAGGAAGATAGACAAGTCTACTATTCACTTTTCCATTCAAATGTTCCTTGAGTACTGAAATGGAAATTAATGAACCTCCTTCTCCAAATCAATACAGATGCCCACCTCCATATCATAATATATGATCATATCATTGAGGTTTCAAGGACTCTCCTTGATAATAGAAAGCATTTATTAAGATTCTACTATTCACCAAATTTACTCAGATTATATATATTATCTCCTCTATTTTTAAAACAACCACTTGGAATAAGTGTTGATTAATTCAAACAATATGTATGAATTGTACAACTTAAAAAACATAAAGTGTCCACCTTCACGAATGTTAAATTATGGTCACAGTAAGTAGAGAGGAGTCAGAAAATGAGCATAACAAATTATCAAAATACAAAATGTTATTTAAAGATTGGTGTTACCGGCTGGGTGTGGTGGCCCATGCCTGTAATCCCAGCACTTTGGGTGGCTGAGGTGGGCAGATCATGAGGTCAGGAGATTGAGAACGTCCTGGCTAACATGGTGTAATCCCGTCTCTACTTAAAAAAAAAAAAAAAAATACAAAAAATTAGCCAGGCATGGTGGCAGGCGCCTGTGGTGCCAGCTAGTCAGGAGGCTGAGGCAGGAGAATGGCCTGAACCCAGGAGGCGAAGCTTGCAGTGAGCCAAGATTGCACCATGGCATTCCAGCCAGGGTGACAGAGCGAGACTCTGTCTAAAAAAAAAAACACAGATTGGTGTTATTTTTTAAAAAGCAGGGAAAGGGAATAGAAGGTGTGGTTGGGAGGAAGTGCTAATTTAGGTTGAATAGTTAGAGCAAGACTTCCTTCAAAGATGATGTTTTAATACAAATCTAAAGTAGATAAGAGATATAACAAGGGAAATATTTTGGGAAGTGCATCTTAGGGAGAACAACAAGGCAAAATCTCAGATTAAACATGTTTAATGTTTACAGAAAACATGTTTGAGATGTTTAGGAATAGCAAGGAAGATAGTGTAGCCAAAAAGGAAGAAGTGTGGAGAGGTATTTGAAATGATTGAGAGAGAATGATTAAGAGATATTAGATCTCAAAATATTTTAAGTATTTCTAAGGGTTTGGGATTTCACTATGAGTGACATAAAAAGTCTTTGACATAAAAAGTCTTACCAGAGGAGTGGCATATGCCTACAGAGAAACACTTTGGCTTTATGGTGAGAATGATTGAAGGACAGGGGAAACAAGATCAGTTAGGAGGCTACTATGGCAACTCATCTGTGGCCTAATGATTGTTTGGAACAGTGGCTTTGTGAGTGCAGGGATGATGAGGGTTTTGAGGAGTGATCTATGACTCATTAAAAGGCTGAGGCTTGGCATGATGGCTCACACCTCTAATCCCAGCACTTTGGGAGGCTGAGGCAGGCGGATCACTTGAGGTCAGGAGTTTGAGACCATCATGGACAACACGGTGAAACCGGGGGATCGAACTTCTGACCTCAAGTGATCCACCTGTGTCAAACTCCCAAAGTGCTGGGATTACACCCGGGAGGCAGAGGTTGCACCGAGCTGAGATCACACCACTGCACTCCAGCCTTGGTAACAGAACAAGACTCTGTCTCAAAAAAAAAAAAAAAAAAAAAAAAAGAAAAGAAAAGAAAAAAGAAAAAAAAATGGCTAGGCATGGTGCCACTTGCCTGTAGTCCCAGCTACTCGAGAGGCTGATGGGTGAGGATCATTTGAACCCAGGAGGTGGAGGTTGCAGTGAACTGAGAGGGGAAAAAATAATATGATAATTTAAGAAAGAAAGCGGAAATGTGTAGTGATGTCTTTGAATATAAAAGGGCCCACCCAGTCCAAATCAGGCTAAAAGACCCCATCACTTTTCCTTATCAAAGGCAATATCCCTTAAGGCCTGAAGCTCATAAAGGATTACAGGATATTGTTAGACATTTAAAAGCTCAAGGCTTAGTAAGAAAATGCAGCAGTCCCTGCAAAACCTGAATTCTAGGAGCACAAAAACCGAACGGTCAGTGGAGACTAGTGCAAGATCTTAGACTCATCAATGAGGGAGTAATTCCTCTATATCCAGTTGTACCCAACCCCTATACTCTGCTCTCTCAAATACCAGAGGAAGCAGAATGGTTCATGATTCTGGACCTCAAGGATGTCTTCTTCTGTATTCTGCTGCACTCTGACTCCCAGTTTCTCTTTGCCTTTGAGGATCCCACAGACCGCACGTCCCAACTTACATGGACAGTCTTGCCTCAAGGTTTTAGGGGTAGCCCTCATCTGTTTGGTCAGGCACTGGCCCAAGATCTAGGCCACTTCTCAAGTCCAGGGACTCTGGTCCTTCAGTATGTGAATGATTTACTTTTGCTACCAGTTTGGAAGCCTCATGCCAGCAGGCTACTCTAGATCTCTTGAACTTTCTAGCTAATCAAGGGTACAAGGTGTCTAAATTGAAGGCCCAGCTCTGCCTACAACAAGTTAAATATCTAGACCTAATCTTAGCCAGAGGAACCAAGGCCCTCAGCAAGGAACGAATACAGCCTATACTGGCTTATCCTCACCCTAAGACATTAAAACAGTTGTGGGTGTTCCTTGGAATCACTGGCATTTGCTGACTAAGGATCCCCAGATATAGCGAGATAGCCAGGCCCCTATATCCTCTAATTAAGGAGACCCAGAGGGCAAATACTCATCTAGTAGAAAGGAACCCGCAGCAACAAGCTTCAAAACCTTAAAGCAGGCCCTAATACAAGCTCCAGCCTTAAGACTTCCCACAGGACAAAACTTCTCTTTATACGTCACAGAGAGAGTCTGAATAGGTCTTGAAGTCCTTACTCAGACTCATGGGACAACCCCACAAACAGTGGCATACCTAAGTAAGGAAATTGATATTGTAGTAAAAGGCTGGCCTCACTGTTTATGGGTAGTTGCAGCAGTGGCCATCTTAGTATCATAGGCTATCAAAATAATACAAGGAAAGGATCTCACTGTCTGGACTACTCACCATGTAAATGGCATACTAGGTGCCAAAGGAAGTTATGGCTATCAGACAACCACCGGCTTAGATATCAGGCGCTACTCCTTGAGGGACCAGTGCTTCAAAAATGGATGTGTGCAGCACTCAACCCTGCCACTTTTCTCCCAGAGGATGGGGAACCAATAGAGCATGACTGCCAACAAATTATATTCCAGACATATGCTACCCAAGAGGATCTCTTAGAAGTCCTCTTAGCTAATCCTGACCTTAACCTATATACCGATGGAAGTGCATTTGTGGAAAATGGGACACAAAGGGCAGGTTATGCCTTAGTTAGTGATGTAACAGTACTTGAAAGTAAGCCTCTTCCCCCAGGGACCAGTGTCCAGTTAGCAGAACTAGTGGCACTTACCCGAGCCTTAGAACTTGGAAAGGGAAAAAGAATAAATGTGTATACAGATAGCAAGTATGCTTATCTAATCCTATATGCCCATGCTGTAATATGGAAAGAAAGGGAGTTCCTAACCTCTGGGGGAAGCCCCATTAAATACCACTAGGGAATCATGGAGTTATTGCACACAGTGCAAAAACCCAAGGAGGTGGCAGTCTTACAGTGCTGAAGCCATCAAAAAGGGGAAAGAGAGGGGAGAACAGCAGCATAAGTGGCTGGCAGAGGCAGGGAAAGACAGCAGAGAGGAAAGGGGTGGGGGGGGGTGGTGAAGACAGAAAGTCAAAGAGTGAAGAAGAGAGAGAGAGAGAAGACAAAGTCAAAGAGAGAAGGAAAGAGAGACAGCAAGAGACAGAGAGAAAAAAGGGAGTCAGAGAGAGAGAGAGGAAGAGACAGAGAGACAGAAAGTCAGAGAAGGAAAGAGAGAAAGAGAGAGAGAGAAAAGTAGTAAAGAAAAAACAGTGTACTCTATTCCTTTAAAAGCCAGGGTAAATTTAAAACCTATAATTGATAATTGAAGGTCTTCTCCATAAGTCTATAACACATATATATAACACACATATATATAACAGATATATATATACACCATTAATTCACACAATTAAATATATATACATATATACCATTAATTCACACAATTAAATATATATGTATATACCATTAATTCACACAATTAAATATATATACATATATACCATTAATTCACACAATTAAATATATATTACATATATAATTAAATATATATATTGTGTGAATTAACGGTATGTGTATATATATGTATGTATATATCTATCTGTAATGGGAACCTAAGGGACAGTGAATTATCTTATAATTCCTTATATCCCATGGTCAGCAGATATCAAAAGAAGAATATTCAGTAAAAATAAATAGCTTTTGTTTTTTTCATTCTATATACTTTTTTCTTATCAATCCCAAAATTTTGATAGTGTATCCGGAGTTGGTTCCTTCCGGTGTGTTTGTGTCCTGATGACTTCAAGAATGGAGCTGCAGACCTTCGCGGTATTATAGCTCTTAAACATGGCACGGACCCAAAGAGCAAGCAGCAGCAAGATTTATTGTGAAGAGCGAAAGAACAAAGCTTCCATATATAATTAATAAAAATATAATTAAATATATATTTAATTGTGTGAATTTTTCCCTCTGATAAACAAATAGAGATTTTGTTATGGAGACAATTGAGTTGCAAAGTATAATTTGATGTGATACAAAACAATGATAAAACAAAAAGAGAATCATGTATTGGATACGACCAAGGCAAGTTTCTCTCTATTCTTACATTAGGAGAAAATGATCTTTTACCAAAGAAGTTTATTTTTTATCTTAAAAGTTCCAGAGCAGGTGGCCTTAGGAGAAAGGATAGTAGATATTAGAAAGCTTAATTGGTGGTATAAAGAAAGGGGAAAGCCTCAAACGAGTTGACCCTGTCTGCATATTTACTTTGAGAGAATTCTTGAACCACTGAAATTGCACCCTATGAACTGCTAACATTCTTAACTGTACTACTTCCGCCTTAATGCATGTCTAATGGTAAATGAAACTCTTGCAAGATAAACAAATGTTTAATATTTTTTTAAACAGAAATATTAGCCATTACACATGAAGTATGGAGAGTTATGTGCATGGTTCAAAAACATGAAAGATGCCGGGCGCGGTGGCTCACGCCTGTAATCCCAGCACTCTGGAAGGCCGAGGTGGGCGGATCACGAGGTCAGGAGATCGAGATCATCCTGGCTAACACAGTGAAACCCCGTCTCTACTAAAAATACAAAAAAATTAGCCGGGCTTGGTGGCGGGCGACTGTAGTCCCAGCTACTCCGGAGGCTGAGGCAGGAGAATAGTGTGAACCTGGGAGGCGGAGCTTGCAGTGAGCCAAGATCGCGCCACTGTACTCCAGCCTGGGAGACAAAGCCAGATTCTGTCTCAAAAAAACAAAACAAAACAAAACAAAAAACATGAAAGACAGGTAGACTAGGGGTTATGAAAGAAGATTAAACCATTCTGAGCTGGTGAAAGACAAGAAACTGACATTTGTTAGTCAAAATATTAGTGTTTTTTCTTAATCAGTTTGGATGTGGCCTTAAATGTTAATGAAGAATAATCTAGACAGCCTTTAATTTAAAAAATCATTGTGTCTTGTAATACACTCCAGACCAAAAGTAGTAATCTTAGTGTAAGCTTTTGGACAGCTATGACTAATTTATTTTTAAGTTCCACTGAGAAGGTTTAAAATTTTTATTTTTTATTTAAAATATAAAAATGTAAAAATAAAATATTTGCTTTTAATTCTCTTTCCAGTGATATTTTGTCACAAAATGAGAAAGGCAAATTACAACTTGAATAGAGGCTTCCCATTAGCTCATTCAGCTACTATATATCTCAATTTTCAGAAAAAAATCATTAGTAATTATATTTTGTTTTGATAATGATAGTTGTTAAACTGTCTCCCCCAGAAGAAAAACCTAGCAAAACAATTCTAGATATCCTTGCCTTGACAAGAGTGGCTCCAAAAACAAAATTATGCCATGATAGCAGGAAGTACTTTTCACTGTGTGTCTTTTAAAGGTAAAACAGTGCATGAAGCCTAGAAAATTATGGTCATAAAAAATTTGAAACTTTTCTTATTTTTGCCAGCCAAATTGTAAAACAATAAAAATATTTAAGCAGAATTTGAATCAATCAAATGTATAAAATTATAATGCAGAAACAGGATTTGTTAATCTTATTTTAAATCTAACATAGGAAAGTATTAATTTCCAATAGTTTTGTTACAGCAAATGTATGGATTTAATCAGTGAAGTGTATGTTTCATATAACATGTATGCTATCCTGTCGATTGGATTGTTTTCTGTTTACTTATTTTATCATCCCACAAGTTAAGCTTTAGGCTGGTAGAGGATAGGCATCATATAAATATCTCATCCACAGCAATGTTTTGTAAACCCAATTTCCTGCAATAGTTCCAAACGTAATAGTTCCAAAATAATGTTTTATTTTTCTTTAGCTTCTAAGCTGTATTATCATTGTTTCCCAGAGATGTCTATATTCCTTCCAAACAAGTTTCTAGGTTCTATGTTTTCAGTCATATGACTTCCTTTTAAGAAAAATATTTATCTAAGCTCCTTTTCTGACATTCTACAAAATCGATTTATCCTCTCCTTGAACATCCATTTCAGTCTTATCCTCAACATAAAGCCACTTTGATCCAATAAATCGTTTACTTCAAATGCAAACACACACTGTCCACTCTGAAAACTTACATGACTTTATGGTACATCTATGAGGTTACTAACTGTTAAGCTTTAATTAGAGTTATCTGTGCACATGTCTGCTTTGCCATAATAAACACATACTCAGTGTGTATAGGGATTATGTCTTAGATACCATGATAGTGGGGCTTCTCAATTCCTATAGAGTATTCACTGGTGAATTTTGATAATAAAAGTAGATGATATTATAGAGATTTAAGGAAAATTTGACAGTAAAAACTGATTCTGCTTTACTGCCACAAACCTGTTTGTACCGAAGCTTGGTGGTAATAAGGGTAAGAAGGGTAATCTAAGTAACCGCCTACCTAAATTTAGCGATCCCAGATGAACTTGCATAGTAAACAAGGAGAATGAGCTGCTTCAGTTTCTCAATTCAAGGATATTTGTTCGTTTGGTTTTAGACACAGATGCCAATAAATAAAACAGGAAAACCCAATGCACATATGCAGTCATATCTACATTAACTTGGCCAGAGAATGTGGAAGAAAGGCTAGATTCTCAAAATCAGAAACTCTCACTAACATAAAGACTAAAAGTAATTCTTATATCCTTAACTCAGATTAATTTATTACCTCACTAATTTGTCTACATCTCTACAGTTTCCCAAAATCTTCTCTAGAGCTTTCACATAGAGTTAGATGAAAAGTGGGTTCAACTATATATTCTGGCTTACTTCATTTACCTTTCATTATTGTAAGGTGGGGCAGAGGGTAATGAGCATGTCCTACATTTACTTACATCTTTGGTTCTAGTACTACAGTAATTGAATTTCTCCTTTCAAATGAATACCTCATGAGGTCCTGATGTGATTATTATGCATTGCATACCAGTATCAAAACAGCTCATGTACCCTACAAATATATACACCTATTATATACCCAAGAAAATTTAAGATGAAAAAAATTATAGAAAATCTCTCCTCACATATTGAATTGCCTCAGTTCTTTGGTCAAAATAATACAAATGATTTCATGATTCTATCATTTTTTTCTACAGGATTTGTACCCCTTTGCTTCTAAATCCTAGTGACCTGAATATACTCAGTTTTTAATATGCTCAATAAGTAATTTTTATTAATTTCTTTCCCTTCACACAAAGAAGGTATCCATCCCTGAAAATCCAACCACCTACCCTATAAATAACTGACATTATCTATAATGTTAAAGTTAATAATTCTCGATATTTATTATAACTATGTATGTGTATACACACACACACACACACACATTTTTTTTTTTTTTTTTGCCTAAGTAATGAGAGACTTAACATATCATGTATAGAAACAGAGCTGTCCCAGAATCTGCAGCAACCAATCCAGGAAGCCAAGCCACAAACCCGGTAGCAATCATCCCAAAACAGTCACTGCTTAAACAATAACTAACAATTTCCCTCATTTTTGTCCCCACTTCCAATTTAGGACCAACTAGAGACAACCAAATATATTCCCCTAATCAATCATGAGAGTTTCACTCCCCCAACTGCATCTTCTCAATTAGCACATACAGCCTGCTGAACTTTTGATTAAGTACTTTAGCAATTATTTGCTAGTCTTTTCTAACCTTGTGTAGTGAATACATTTATTATTTTAATGCTTTAGAGTGTTTCTTAGATATGGTGTGTTTTTCATCTCTTTAATTATTTACCAGGACCTATCACTTGGCTTACAAATATTAGGTGCTGAGTAAATCTTGGTTAAATAATAAACTAGTATTGTTTGCCTTATTAATCATTTATTTTATGATATTTTGATAGCTGTGGCAATAGCCTAATAAAATGAACTTACGTGATACCATTTGGTTTATAAAACATTTTTTAATTAGAACTTATTTGTTCCACTGTCTTCACTGAAGCATGTGATTTGTAAGTTATTATCTTATCAAATATATAAATGAAGCCTTTTCTTAAGATTAATGAACTAGTTGCTTATTAGATATGATGATCACTACAATCAGTGCTATCCTCAATTTTAAGCTTAATTCTAAGGCTTTATATTCCAAATATATTCAGGTATATGCTCTTCGCTTGTTTGTTTGGTTTTGTGCTTGTGTTTTTGAATTGTGTTTTTCATGCCTTGGATATCCCGATGTGCTTATAAATTATGCAGTACAAATAGACATCAGTATGCTTATTGATAAAATCCTACTGGCTATTTCCATAAGGTGGCTTTCAAATTTATGGTTTTTTTTTTTTAGCTCCTGCTTATAACTAAAATCTTCGTAAGTGATATTTTTGTGTTCTTTTTGTTGTCTACTGTTATTCTCTTCAATTTCACACATGTCTTTCAAGTGCATACAAAAGGTGGGGGAGATGAGAATGACTAAAATAAAAACAATTAAAATATCGTTTCTATTTGTTTTCTAGTAAAAACATCATAATCTTTGAAATTTCACCTTATATTTAAATCTTTCATTTTTCATTTAAGCTTTTTACATATTTTCTGTTTTAATGCTAATATAAATGTGTTGGAAGTTTAAAATAAATGTCTCCTATAACGTCTTAATTTTTAACATAATTTCAAGAATCTAATATATTTCTAGTTTAGAAGTATTGCTTTTGTTGAAGTTACAAATGCTGATAATGATAATGAAGCAGCTTCAATAAAAGATGATCTAATAATTCTTTGTGTTTTGGAACAAACTTAATAAATTACGTTACAGCATTCACAATGCTTAGGTAGTTGTTTTATTTTTTTTCCAAAGTTCTCCAATACTTTATAGTCACTTATTTTGTAGTAAGAGGATTGTCCTTGTAGGCAAATCTAAAGTATCATTTGCTATGTATCAGTATTTTCTTTATTTCTCCTTTAGGAGACGTTTCTTTTTTATTTTGTGATAAGGCAGAAAAATAGAATGAGCCCAAGGGTGTTATTTAATTACATGTTTTCTCAGCTACAAATCAAATAGGTCACTTCCTTCTGAATGAAACCATGATGATAAAGGAAGATGGCATCAGAAATATTATCAGAAAAATGATAGTCAAAAGGAAATTTGTCCTGAGACCAGACAAATTAAGATGAGTTTTCTATCTCCACTAATAGCAACCAGTAGGAGACCCCTCTAGGTTTACCGCCCAGCTTAAGCCAATAATAACATTATTTTTCCTATGAAATCCATGTCTATTCCCTAATTCATATGGTTGTAACTTCAGTGGAGGTGTCAGTACAATAAGTTCTGTTCCCATGGCCACAAATGACTGCACAAGTGGCGACTTTACCAAAGACAATAATCCATTTCCCATGATTTAAAATTGGTATTAGATGATTAGTATCTAAAAGATTATAGTTTAATTTGTGCTGGTGCCTTCAAAAAAGCAACTTTACGATGTATGCCTTATAGAGCAATGTGTCTACAGTACTTGAACAAAGTTGCAGAACATAATACAGGTTACAGCCAAAGAATAGTGATGTAGCTAAACATTGAGAACCATAAATAAGGTTATCTTGAGTTACTGATGTATTTCTATTTCTTATTTCAATTGATTTCTGAGCTCTGGGTATATTTTGGCCCATTGATTTTTGAATCCTCAAAATAAGAGTTTTTCTACTTAAACTCAAGTTGTTTTTTGTTATTTACAGAATGTTAATATAGACTCAGTGCCACATATGCCAATACAGCCTTGGCCAGAGATGAGCTACCTTTGCATATTAGACTGTGCAAATATTTATTATTCAAGTTCACATAGCCTATGTAAATATCCTAAAATATAGGATACATAGAATATTCAAAAATACATTAAACTCTCGGTTTCTCAAGGTCAAAGACTTTGCGGAGCAAGTTTTATTTTTAAATATATATTCACAAAAGTATACACTGAAAAGTAATATATACTCATCTACAATATACTCATATTTACTAGTCAGGGAATCTTCAGAGTATCAAGTAGTTAAAGAGGATATTATTTTCCCTATTTTCAAATTACCATGCTAAGTGACTTATATAGGGTCATGTAGATAATTGGCCTCTTCACAGCATGGTGTTCTCAAAGTAGTCAGACATCTTACAAGGCGGCTGGCTTTTAAGACAGAGCATGTAAAGTGGTTAAAGGTGGAAGCTCCAGATCTTTCAACATGTAATCTGAGCATTTATCCAAGGTCACTTTACCACATTCTATTGGTTAAATCAGGTCACAGGACTTGCCTTCTTTCAAAGGAAGAAAAAAATAGACTTCAACTCTTTAAGGTAGAAATAATAAAGGATTTGCATGCATTTTCAATTTATTGCTCTAACAGACTGGCATGGGCTCAGTCATGCCAGGATCTGTAATACCAAAAATGGGGCTATTAATTTTAAGGATGATCATAATCAAACAAAGATCTCCCTACTCTACAATAGCATATAAAATACTTTGAATTTGATCTTCTTGAGTAAAATAAATATTTTGCACAGTTTTGAAATATATATGGTATTATTAATACTAGGTGTTAATAATACTAATAAATGTTATAACTTATAAGGCACTGGAATGCCAAATAACCAATTTCCTGTAGCACTTTAGCTTTCTAAAATTCTACATTTAAATGAGATCTGGCCCATTATATATTTAACTTACTATTTCAAAAGTGGTTTTACTATAAGTAAATAGTGTACCTACTTCTCTAAGGGCTAACTATAGAATAATAGGGTATTTAGCAAGAAATGAAATGAGAGGCTAAAATACTTGTCTACCAAGTAGACAGGTATCATGTGTAAATAACAAGGTACTTATGAAAATTACTTCATAAGAATCAATGGAAGAAAACATAAAGTACATAAATTATTGGTGATATAGTAGTAACTGCTCTGAAAAAGAAAACTTGTCTCTATCATATAGGAGGAATGTGCCACTACAAATGGAACTTCACTGCTATTCCAGTATCAGTAGGATAGGTACTAGGAGTTGATTTTGTAGTGATGTTTTAAATTTATGAAGTATAGTATATATTTCCCAGGAGGTGGAATGGGGGAAAGATTTTAGAACCTAGCCTTTGGCCAGAAAAATTTTATTTGTTCAACACAAACATATATGAAAGGGTTTAACATTACGGGAAACTTAATTGGTAATTGTTAACAGAGCTTCAGTGTCAAAAATTCATAGAAACCTCAAAGCTCATCTCTAAAATGTTTGACCCTTGTTTTTAATCTCTCTGAATTCTGACCCTCCATCTAAAATAGCTAAACAGAAACACTGAGATGTTCCATTTTCACCTAAAAGTTGGCATTTTGAAAACTGAATTCATAATTTTCTTGACAAAACAAATTTCAGGGTTACCTTAATTATCCAATCTTTTGTTTCAGTGTAACTTCTCTTTCAGCCATCCCTTTCTTTTTATTCCTACAGCTAATGCTCTGTTTCATGTCCCTATATGCCAGCTGAAACACTGAAATGAGATGGTCTATTCTTCCAACTTAATTATTAGGACACATTTGCATAGTACTTTATTGGTTTTGCTGAAATAATAATTTATTATATGGGATTCATACAACCTACCTATTAGACTCAGGCTGCTGAACATGGTATATTATGCTGTTAGGTTCAAAACACAAACTTTTCTTCCAGTTTTAGTTCACACTATATACACAAACCATTACCAATAGGAAAATTGTCTATTTTTTTTTTTTTTTTTTGAGATGGAGTCTCACTCTGTCACCCAGGCTGGAGTGCCGTGGCGCAATCTCGGCACACTGCAACCTCTGCCTCCCGGGTTCACGCCATTCTCCTGCCTCAGCCTCCCGAGTAGCTGGAACTACAGGTGCCTCCCCAACCACTCCCGACTAATTCTTTGTATTTTGGGTAGAGACTGGGTTTCACCGTGTTAGCCAGGATGATCTCTATTTCCTGACCTTGGGATCCGCCCGCCTTGGCTTCTTAAAGTGCTGGGATTACAGGCATGAGCCACTGTGCCCGGCCACAAATTCCATTTTCTTTCTTGTATCCGTGTGTTTTTTAACAGTCTTCCAACTCTCTTCTCCTAAGGATCATCTTCCTCATATTCTATCTCCTCAAATTACCAATATAAATCTATTTATTCTTTAATGTTCCTTTATCATCTCTCTTTGCATTCCATCTCTACTCCCATGTCCAATTTCTCTCCATGGGAAGCTGTTCTTCTCTGCACGTCCTAGCACTTATTTCTGCAACTCTTTGATAAATTTATAATGTTTTGCTCTCTTCCACTTCTTTTGTTGATTCCTTTTTTTCATGTCTTGTCACTTCAGACTGTAAGAATGCTGAACACATTCTTTTACTGTTTTATACTTATCTGTGTACCATACGGTGCTCAGAGTTGTTGGTTGATTAATTAGATGCATGTAGTTCACTGAGACACAATAATATCTCTTGGATTTATACAAGTAATAAACAAGTAGGGACTATGAAATAAGTTTTCTGCTCTGCATGGACCTAACTCCAAGTATCACAATAAAGTAGAATTTGGGTGGTTTATAAAAAGATCAGATGCCAGACAGAGAATTTAAGTGTTGCATATGTAATGCAAAATAATCAATGCAAATGGATGACTAACAGCAAGATGTTGACTATTATAGGAAACTGTTCACTGGCTGTAAATCATACTCTAGGAAAACCACCGCAAATCCTTTTCAAAATACCCATCTATATCTAAGAGGCAAACCATCAAAAAGCAAGAAAGCTTAGAAAATGTCATGACGGGAGGTACAAGAAGGGGAAAATGTGCAAGAAATGTTTTTCATAATAAAAAGGTCTTAAGAGAAATGAAGTCTCTGTTTTGTACTATTTTATAGAAAGTGTTATACAATCAATTATGATGCAAAGTATTGGGGAAACAGGAGTCAAAATAATTATTTTTTAAAAATGTATTTTTGTAGTTCTATACATTTTGCTCTTGTATTGAAAACCTGAAGATATAGTCATCCCTATCACAGTATAAAACAGTATGCAAAGGACCTTCCCTGAACCAACAGTATAGATGAAATTAAAACAAACATAAACAAAGTCAGGTAAAAGTTAACAATGGATTTTTTTCTTTTTTTTTTTCGATACAGAGTCTTGCTCTGTCGCCCATGCTGGAGTGCGGTGGCCGATCTCGGCTCACTGCAACCTCTGCTTCCCGGGTTCAAGCGATTCTCCTGTCTCAGCCACCTGAGTAGCTGAGATTACAGGCATGTGCCACTGTGCCTGGCGAGTTTTTGTATTTTTAGTAGAGACAAGGGGTTTTGCCATGTTGGCCAGGCTGGTCTCAAACTCCTGACCTCAGGTGATCCGCCTGCCTTTTATGTTGACACAGTTATAAGTCCATGTCTATAATGTGGAGATGAAATACTATTTAACTAAAAGAAGTATGCCATACACAAGATTGCCCATTTGGTCACAGAGTTTGATCGCCCAAGCAGACTGATAAAGCAAAACAACTCATTCTTTTCGCAAGAGGTTTGCTGTCAGAACACAGATGTCATGAAAACCACCCCTAAAACCAAAGTGGGAAACAAAAAGACTCATATCAATATCGTTGTCATTGGACATGTAGATTTGGGCAAGTACACCGCTACTGGCCATCTGACCTACAAATGTGGTGGAATCAACGAAAGAACCATTGAAAATATTGAGAATGAGGCCACTGAGATGAGAAAGAACTCCTTCAAGTATGCCTGGGTCAGTCTTAATAAACTGTCGAGTGTGAATATAGTAAACTGTCGAGTGTGAATGTAGTATCATCATTGGTATCGCTCTGTGGAAATTTGAAATCAGCAGGTATTATGTGACTATCATTGATGACCCAAGACACAGCTACTTTATTAAAAATCTGATTGCAGGCATATCTCATACTGGCTTGTCCGGATTGTTGCTCCTGGCCTTGGTCATTTTCAAGCTATGTTTTCCAAGAGTGGATAAACCCATGAGCATGCTTCTCTGGCTCACACACCGGGTATGAAACAACTAATTGTCGGTGTTAACAAAAGTAGAATCCACAGATTCCACCCTACAACCAGAAGAGATATGAATAAATTGTTAAGGAAGTCAGCCCTCACATTAAGAAAATTGACTTACTACCGTCATAAAGTAGCATTTGTGCCAATTTTTGGTTGGGATGGTGAGCCAAGTGCTTGCATGCTTTGGTTCAAGGCATGGAAAGTCATTGATAAAGACAGCAATGCCGGTGGAACCATGCTGCCTGAAGGTCTGGTTTGCAAACTACCACCAACTCACCCAGCTGACAAGCCATTGCATCTGCCTTTCCAGGATGTCTACAAAATGATATTGGTACTATCCCTGTGGGCCAAGTGGAGTCTGGTGTTCTGAAACTGGCATGGTGGTCACCTTTCTTTGAGTCAATGTTACAACTGAAGTAAAGTCTGTTGGAAGGTACCATGAAGCTTTGAGTGAAGCTCTTCCTAAGAACAACGTGGGCTTCAGTTTTAATAATGTGCCTGTCAAGCATGTTCGTTGTGGCAATGTTGCTGGTGACAGCAAATATGACCCACCAATGGAAGCATCTGGCTTCACTGCTCAGATGATTATTCGGAAACTTCCAGGCTAAATCAGTGTTAGCTACACCCCTGTACTGAATTGTCACACTGCTCACATTGCTGGAAAGTTTGCTGCACTGAAGGAAAAGATTGAGCACTGTTCTGGTAAGAAGCTGGAAAATGACCCTGAATTCTTGAAATTTGGTGATGCTTCCATCATTGATAAGATTCCTAGCAAGTGCATGTGTGTTGAGACCTTCTCTAACTATTCTCTTCTGGGTCATTTTGCTGTTCGTCATATGAAACAGTTGCTTGGGTGTCATCAACGTAGTCGACAAGAAGGTTTATGAAGCTGGCAAGGTAACTAAGTCTGCCCAGACAACTCAGAAGGCTAAATGAATATGATACCTCTACCTACCATCCCAGTCTTAATCAGTGGTGGAAGAATGGTCTCAGAACTATTCCTTTCAATTGGCCATTTAAGTTTAACAATAAGTCTGGTTGATGATAACAATGCATCGTAAAACCTTCAGAAGGAAAGGAAAGTGTTTTGTGAACTATTTTATTTTTGCATTTGACAATTTTTAGTTATTAGTTTTTAAAATCCATACTTTTTAATAGAAACAACTTGACAAAAAATCTATTGCAGAATTTTGAGACCCATTAAAACAAAGCTTAATGAGAAAAAAGCGACTCATTTTGAGAAATACGAATGAAATATCAATTACCCATTTCTTTGTCAAGAATTGAATGGTAACTCACTTTTAAAGAAAAGCCAGCACATCTGAGACTAAGGATGCATTTTAATAAAATAACAGCTTTTTCAAAGAAATACAACATGATTTAAATGTTGAGCTTTCAAGGTTTATTTTTATTTTCTCAATCTGTTGTAGTTTCTGTCAGATGTCATGGGTGACGTGGTGTCTGTGTCTCAGAGATAAAGTGAAATGAACCCAAGTCAGAGATGAGAAAGGGTGTCTGACAGATGATGGGCACTTGGGCCCGTGTGCACCTTGACTATGCTCCCTTTGGGAGGCCATCCCAGTGCCAGTTGGAGTAAATCCACACTGTCCAAACTGTCAAGAGCAGTTTTGTGATATGTGCTTCACAGAGTCCCTACAGCTACAAATGGAGACTTGATGCCCTGTGCTCTGAGAAGCCTGATCTTTAAATTATTCTGTTTCAGCCCACCCTTTATAAGTTTCTATATGTACTAATGCAAAATAAGAGGAGTACAATTTCCCCAGTTATACTTCTGTGGTAATAACATGCTTTATACATTTTTAACCTTCCCTGATATCACTGATTTTCACAGTGTATCTCCTGTAAGTCAAATACATCATTCATGTTCAATTTGTTAGATATGCAAGCAGACATCATTCAGCATTCAGTAAAATATATATTTTGAATCTGTGATAAAATGAGCTAGAATTAGGAATGGAAAATACACGAAGGCTAAATTGAGAAATGAAAACATAAGTAAGTTTCAAAACTAAATCCAAATAAACCATGCCACTTTAAAAAAGAATAATACACCTTCCAGATAAGCTTTGGAACAGAAAAAAAAGGCTTATTTTGAAAAATAATGAAAAAGAACAGCACTGAAGAAGATGTCAAATATTACCAATTATTAGCTATATAGTTAATTAAATAAAAATAAAGCATGCACAAACACAAAACCTGCCCCAAACTATCCAGATAAAAAATAAAAGAAAATGATTGTTATGCATTCACAAAAAGTAAAAAATCAATAATGCCTGATTTATATGCTTTCTATGCAAGAAATATATTGAAATCTACATGAGACAAGTTATACTTCAGATAAACACAGCAAGCAATTTTTATAACCCACATCGTAATTTTAGTGTTTTGTTTTCTTTTTGTTTTTCTTTTATCAGTGAACTTCTAAATACACAAATAGGCATGTGATAACAGTTTAAATTTATCCATGGAAATGGATGAATAATACGAAATAATCACACGGGATACTGGCTGTTGGACTTTTTAAAAAGTTGTAGTTAGAATCAATATGAACTCACATATTAAAAATGCTAATTTCAGAATTAGGAATATTTCTGCATTGATAAAGTAGGAAAAAATGGATTTGACTTATGTTCAGGGAAAATTCTAAATCAATATGCTGTTGTAAAATTTGAAAAGCAAAGGTATGAAAATACATCATCTCAATTAGACATTAACCTAGCCTCTTTGGGAAATATCAAAATTAGTTTCTTCTTTACTTACTATTTAATTCACTGAGTTCATCTTTAAATTGATCATAACTCTATTACAAAATAAGTTCAAATTTTTTTGACTTTTAAAACACTTACCCTAGGAACATCTATCTGAAGAAACTGTTTTAAAGTAGTTTTTTTCTTTTTAGAAAAGGTGGTTATTTTTTCTGAGATGAAAGAATTTGGGGATCAATATACACAATTTTCAATCTCTTGAAACTGTATTATTTTTGGATGGCATGGTCATAATAACACTTACATCTGATTACTTATAAGTCTTTTATTCAATCTATTCAAGTCTCTATATTATTCCATACTTTCATTATGGGGATTTGGAATTGCTCATATTGGAAAAGCACATGCCAAATCAGGAGTGAATTTAGTTACAAATGTGAACACGCGCAGGAAAGTAGTTTCCATTTTTTATAAGAATGGACCTTTGAGAGCAAACCCTATTTATTGCTATTCATCACATAATGAAATGGAAATTTTGGCAAAACCAAACAAGTAATATACTAAATTAAAGCAATAGTAACTAATATTGTTGATGTATTTAGGTACTAAGTTCTATAGCTATCAATTTTTATGTGTAGAATCATGTATTTATATAAAATTTCTATATAGTAATGAATATATAGTTTGAAATTAAAATAATAATGCTTAAGGTATTTCATAATTTACAAGTGTCATATTTCATCATTAATATATAAGTAGATATTTGCTAAACAAATCCAAACTTTAAAAAATATATTTATTTCCATTTAATTATCCTCTACTAGATTAAGCATCTATTTTTGGAAGCGGTACACATTTATTTAACTTTCCTATATCCCTTAAATAAGTAAAGACAGATATATATAGTCTGGTAAAAAAATGAATAGGGCTTGTAAGTAACTCTTTTATCATAAAGAGGATAAAGTTTGAAGGAGGATTCAGTCAGTTTATTTCTAATACAATTAGGAAAACAAAGAAGATAATATTTAATTTACAGGACAAATATTAATAATGTAAAATGTCTTCTAAAGGCTGTTGCAGTGGAAATTGGTATTTTATTCCAAACAGGCAAATGTTTACGAAGCAAAATATTAGCATAGGCCATTTCATAGGGTAATCACCATTGCATCCCCTGCATCTGTAAGAGTAACTCGTATACAGTAGATACTTAATATATATTTGATAATTACTAAATTGATAAATATATGCCTTTTTCTTTTCCTGAGACACAATATCATATGTCTTTACTTGTAGACAGTTTTCACTTGATAGAGGTTTTACAGACTATTTATAGGCCTTTTGGGTCATAAATAAATTGTGAACTTAAAAAAGAGAGAGAGTTTATGTTTTTCAAGGTGGGCCTTTGAGAATGGAAAAAGGTAAAACCATCATAATGATGTAACTATATTTCAATTTATATTAGACATAATATCAATTTGAAGAATGTGTGTTTTGTTAAAAACCCCATGTATATTTACAATAGAAGAATTTGACACATTTTCTAATAGTCTTTGATATTCTTCACATTTCTACTCCTTATACTATGAAAAATATGACACAACACATGCTAAAATGTTTGCCCTAGTGTGAACAGCATCTTTATATATAGATACTAGCTATCCCATAGTCAAAAATTGTTATTATTTTATTTTATTTTATTATTATTGTACTTTAAGTTTTAGGGTACATGTGCACATTGTGCAGGTTAGTTACATATGTATACATGTGCCATGCTGGTGTGCTGCACCCATTAACTCGTCATTGAGCATTAGGTATATCTCCTAAAGCTATCCCTCACCGTTCCCCCCACCCCACAACAGACCCCAGAGTGTGATGTTCCCCTTCCTGTGTCCATGTGTTCTCATTGTTCAATTCCCACCTATGAGTGAGAATATGTGGTGTTTGGTTTTTTGTTCTTGCGATAGTTTACTGAGAATGATGATTTCCAATTTCATCCATGTCCCTACAAAGGACATGAACTCATCATTTTTTATGGCTGCATAGTATTCCATGTTGTATATGTGCCACATTTTCTTAATCCAGTCTATCATTGTTGGACATTTGGGTTGGTTCCAAGTCTTTGCTATTGTGAATAGTGCCGCAATAAACATACGTGTGCATGTGTCTTTATATAGTCAAAAATTAAAACAATTCCAGAAAGCAGTCACCATTGGAATGTGGAAGAAGAGATTCTAGCTCTGGGGTTGTTCACACAGGCAGGTGAGTAACTGGGACTAGAGAGGATATAATACTGAAGGTAAGTAAATGGCAACTAGAAAATCTGCCACCAGCTGAAAAGGACAAGTGCTCATGGTTAGGTCCCTGATATTCTGGTAAATGAGAAGGCACTTTTATCAACAAGCATCAGTTTAACTCTTTTTAACCTTATCTACTCTACTCCATAAATCAATTTCTTTAGAGAAAGACAGATGAGAGATCAATAAATGTATTCTTGGATATGTGGCTATGCTTTGTCAGAGGAAGGCAGAAAGCCTTGTCTGACAATTATTCAGACACAAATATTAGATGATTTCCCACTATGTACAAAACACCGTTCAAATATTTGGATAAAAATCTGAAAAAAAAACAAGGCATATATTCCTGAAAATATCTGAGAATATTCACTTAAGGTCATGGCTAAAATGTCATGATGATGTTCATGATAATGTCCTCCTAGCAGAAGGAGATAAACTCTAAGGAATAACAGGGGACTGAACATGTAAATCCCGCTGGGGCTTTAATTTGTATTGTAAGATGGGAAAATATGGAGAATCCTGATGAGGAGTGATGTGGTTTAATTTACTTTTTAATAGAATCGTGTTGGCTGCTCTACTGAGAAAAGACTGTAGAGAGCTACATTTGGGAAGCAAAAAGAGCAGAGAGCAGGGTTTTGTAATTGAGGTATGAGACACTGGGAAATATGGAAATAGTAAGAAGAGGATAGTTCTCGATATAGATTAAACCTTAGGTCAACAGGATTTGTGGAGGGATTGTATATAAAAGGAATCAATATAGTAGATCAAGACTGAATGCAGCAGGGAAGAATATTTCCCAAAAGATAAATAGGGATGTGGCTACCAGAAGAAGGAGCAATGATGCTTAGTTGGCAGAAGCAACAAATGTCCACAACAGCTCCCGAGAAAGCTCAATAGACATAACACAAAACGAGAGGAGGCCCGTTATCACCACCGCGACACAAGGTCAGGAATGGATCATCAGTGGAAGCCATTTGATATTAATGTCTGGGATTTGTACTACAATTTCTTAAGTTTCTCATACCCAGGAACTTGGTTGATTCTACCATATATGTAGGACTAATTATACAAGACTTGGCCATGTAGTACTTTCTGTTGGTAAACAAGGAACTAAAAGGCTGGAAAATAGTAAAGGAAAATATAAAATGTGCATGGTATATCGTTTAGCATTTATAAGGAAATAAGAAATATTAATGACTAGGCCAATGTTAGTTTTACCTTATTGCTACATACTCAATGCTGGTAACTGACCCCGAGCAACAAAAGTTCCTGATATGGTTTTCTTTTTCCCCATGAGTATAGAAAACAAGACTGCACAAGATCTTTCTCTAGTTATACAAGAAACAAGAAATAAGTAGAAGAAGTAGAGGCATTGTTTCCATTCTAAACGTTCTAGCCTGGAGCAAATCAAAGTATTTCAGTTAAGATTTAATCAGAGACTAAAATGAATTCAGTAAATGTGAACTGACTTTCTAACCGAAGGATATTATTACCATGTGGGTAGAAGTCATAATACATTTTAAAACACACACATTTGAAATTCTAAAATACTTTATGATGTAGAATAAAACAAAGTATTTTCTGAGTGATATTGTGCTCTGCATAACAACATTCAGTCAATAACAACCTGCATATATGACAGTGGTCCCGTAAGATTATAATGGAGCCGAAAAATTCACATCACCTAGTGACATTGTGTAGCCATAGTAATGTCCTAGTGTAATCATTTTTGTGTGTTTGTGTTGATGCTGGTAGAAACAATATTAAATAAACCTTCTGCCAGTCATATAAAAGTATAGCATGTACAATTATGTCTAGTACACAATACTTGATAATGACATAAACAACTATGTTACTGATTTATATATTTACTATACTATACTTTTTTATCATTATTTTAGAATGTACCCCTTTTACTTACTAACAACAACAACAACAACAAAAGGATACTGGTAAAACAGTCTAGGGCAAGTCCTTCGAGAGGTATTACAGAAGAAGGCATTGTTGTCATAGGCAATGACAGCTCCATATGTGTTATTGCCCCTGAAGACACCTTCCAGTGGGAAAAGATGTGGAGGTGAAAGACAATGATATTGATAATGCTGAACCAGTGTCGAGCTAGTCTAATGTGTATCTTTATGTCTTAATTTTTAACAAAAATTTAAAGAACAAAAAATTAAAATAATATGAAAATAGGAAAAAAGCTTATAAAGATATAAAGAAACATATGTTTTTGTTTTTCTTTAACAAAAATGGTATTTATTTTTAAAGCAGACTCTTTAAAAATCTTTATCCAAAGTGAAAAGTAGCTTTTAAGAGGGAAAAGATGATATATTTTATCATAATTTGTCTAATTATCTACATGACTTTAAATATTTTCTATTTATTCAGAATAAATATTCTCTTGCAGAGAAAAGTAAGCCCAGTAATAGTTATATTATTTCAAGAGTATCAACCATACTTTCAGAGTACACTTATTTTATTTTTACTAACTTTTATTTTAGTTTCAGGGGCACATGTGCAGGTTTGTTACATAGATCAAGTGCGTGTCAGTGAGGTTTGGTACAATGTGTTTATGTTATATGCTTTGTTTGATATGTTGGCTCTGTGTCCCCACACAAATCTCATCTCAAATTTTAATCTCCATGTGTTGAAGGAGGGACCTGGCAGGAGGTGATTGAATCATGGGGGCAGTTTCCCTCATGTTGTTCTCATGATAGTGAGTGAGTTCTCAAGAGATCTTGTTGTTTAAAAGTGTTTGGCAGTTCCTCCCTCACTCTGGTTCTCTCCTGCCGCCATACGAAGAAAGTCCTTACTTCCCCTTTGCCTTCTGCCATGATTGTAGTTTCCTGAGACCTCCTCAGCCTGTGAGTCAATTAAACCTTTTTTATTCATAAATTACCCAGTCTCAGGTAGTTCTTTATAGTAGTGTGAAAACAGACTAATACAGTGTTATTACAAAAGAGTCAAAAAGTTAAAAATTAAAAGTGTATAAAGTGAAAAAGTTTCATTAAGTGTAGGTTAATTTATTATTGAAGAAAGAAAGTTTTAAAAATAAATTTAGTGTAGGCTAAGTGTACAGTGTTCAGTAGTATACAGTAATGTACTAAGCCTTAACATTCACTCATCACTCATTCACTGACTCACCTAGTGGAATTTCCAGTCTTACAAGCTCCTTTCCTGACAACTACTTTATACAGGTGTACCATTTTTTTAAATCTTTTATACTGTATTTTTACTGTGTCCTTTTAGGTTTATATATGTTTAGATACACAAATACTTTGTATTGTGTTACAATTGCCTTTAGTCTTCATAATATTTATATGCTGTACAGGTTTGTCACCTGGGAGCAATAGGCTATATCATATAGCCTAAGTGTATAGTAAGCCTAGGTACGTAGTAGGCTATACAATCTAGGTTTGTGTAAGTACACTCTACAGTGTTTATAAAATGAAGAAATCCCCTAACAAAATAATGCATTTCTCAGAATGTATCCTCATTGTTGACACATGAGTATATATGCATAAAAATAATTTTAAATGTACTATAATTGTGTGACAGAGTATATTCTTCTTGGTCAACTGGAAATGTTAACAAATTAACATAATATTATTTATCTAATTTAAATTCTATTTCAAATAGTGATAATATCAAGATTTTGCCTCATCTTAAACCCAGTAACATGTTAAGACAGTCATTGGAAGAATATGTATGTATAACACAAGGCTTAGCAAGCAAAAACACTGCTGAATACATATTGCAGTTATTAATATTTGTCTACTAAGTGACAGGAAGTTTAATTTTTCCCATTTTTTTCCTAAACTTTCTTTTCATTTTGATTCTTTGTTAGTACTCACACAAGCAAAAAGATGCTCTTTGTGGTGGTCTTGACTTTGTTACAGTGTTAATAATTCATTCAAATCAATTCCAAAATCTTCTGATCTCACCCTTTATTATCTGTAGGCATCCCTGATGTATGCTACTTAACTGTAAGAGCAGATATGCAGGCTGGGTACAGTGGCTCATACCTGTAAACTTTGGGAGGCCAAGGCAGAAGGATCACTCTAGCCCAGGAGTTTGAGACCAGCCTGGACAATGTAGGGAGACTCCATCTTTAAAAATAATTAAAAAATTAGCCAGGTGTGGTGACATGCACTTATTGTCCCAGCTTCTTGGGAGGCTGAGGTGGGAGGATTGCCTGAGCCCAAGATGTCAAGATTCCAGTGAGCCCTGATCACACCACTGCACTCCAGCCTGGGAGACAAAGGGAGATCCTGTCTTAAAAAAAAAAAAAAAAAAAAAGCGGATATGTGTGACATAGTAAATGGGAAGACAGTCCCAGCTAAGTAAAGCTCTGAAGCAACAACCACTGAGAGTAAAGAATGCACTTAAAAGATACACAGTCTACAAGTTCCCTCCTGTCTTTTAATAAATATTTTTATGAATATGTTGGAGTTGTACATAGTTATGGGGTACATGTGATTTTTGATACATATGTACAATGTAGAATAATCAAATCAGGATAATTAGAATATCCATCAGGTCAAGAATTTATCTTTGCTTTGTGTTGGGAACATTACAATTATTCTCATTAGCAATTTTGAAACCTACATAATTTCTCCACTTTACTATTAAATACTAGAATGTATTCTTTCTATTTAACTGTATTTTTGTATCCATTAACCAATTTCTCTTCATCCCTCTCCCATTCCCTTCCCAGCCTCTGATGACCACCATTCTATGCTTTACCTCCATGAAATCTACTTTTTCAGTTTTCACGTAATAACGAGAACATGCAGTATTTGTCTTTCTGTACCTGGCTTATTTCACTTAACATGACACCCAGTTCCACCCATGTCCCTGCAAATGACAAGATTTTATCCTTGTTTATAGCTAAATAATATTCCATTGTGTATACATACTACATTTTCTTTATCCATTCATCCATTGATAGACACTTGGGTTGATTCCATTGCTTGGCTATTGTGAATAGTTCTGCAATAAACGTGGTAGTGCAGACATATCTTCTATACACTTATTTCCTTTCTTCTGGAGGTATACTCAACAGTAGAACTGCTGGATCATATGGCAGTTCTATTTTTAGTTTTCTGAGGAACCTCCATACTGTTTTTCAAAATGAATGTACTACTTTACATTTCCACCAACATTATGTAGGTGTTCCCTTTCTCTGCATCCTCACCAGTATTTGTTATTTTTTGTCTTTTTGATAATAGGCTTTAAACTGGGGTGAAATAATATCTCATTGTGTTTTTGATTTGTGTTTCCTTAATGATTAGTGATGTTGAGAATTTGTTTATATGCCTGTTAGCCATTTATATGTGTTCATTTGTGAAATGCATATTTGAATCTTTTACCCACTTTTAAATTGGGTTGATTTTTGCTAATGAGTTGCTTGAGTTCTTTACATAGTCTGGTTATTAATCTCTTGTCAGATGGATAGTTCACAAATATTTTCTTCCATTTTGGAGGATTTATCATCATTTTGTTGATTGTTTCCTTTGTTGTGCAAAATTCTTTTCAGCTTGATGTAATTTCATTTGTCTATTTTGGCTTTTGTGGCCTGTGCTTGAGATTTTACCCCCAAAAATCTTTGCCTGGCTAAATATCCTGAAGTGTCTCCCCAATGTTTTCTTCTAGTGGTTTCATAGTTGCAGTATATGAAATCAACATACAAAAATCAGTGGCATTTCTATACACTACAAGAAATCAATCTGAAAAAACAACAACAACAACAACAACAAACGGCTAGACATGCTGACTTACATTTGTAATCCTAGCACTTTGGAAGGCCAAGGCAGGAGGATCTCTTGAAGCCAGGAGTTTGAGACCAGCCTGAGCAACATAGCAAAACCCCATCTCTGCAAAAAATTTTTTTTCTAATTATCTAGGCACGGTTGCATGCACCTTTAGTCCTAGCTACTCAAGAGGCTGAGGCAGTAGAACACCTTGAGCCCAGGAGTTTGAGGCTGCAGTGAGCCATGATCATGTATAACTCTAAAGCTAACTGTATCTGTAAATGACTTTCTAGGACTCCTTTTGTAAAAAGTGTATAATCGCTTGACTTAGGATTAGTATCCTCCAGAAGGTGAACTATTTAAGTTACTAATTTATTCACACTTGTTTAGAAAATGTGTGTGTGTAAAATGGTGGATGTACATAATGATTATATAAAGTAAAGAAATATCAGGAAAAATAAGCAAGGAAAAATTGTGCGTTTAATATTTGCATACTGTAGGCATATTTAATTTTCTTTTTCGTCTTGATTGGATTCTTGTGTGTGTTTCCCAACGTGCACTTTTGTTTTATTCCTCAGGTGTATGCCAGCTGCTGGGTTGATAAGACTATCAAACTGCAACTTGCAATTAAATTTCAGGCATGAGAAAGGAAGTTACAAAGGAATGCTAGAGGAATGAAAAGATTCAATAAATCTGAACAAACAAATTACTATAATTAGCTAATGGACAACCACAATTTTTTTATGCAAATATAACACTTCAGTGTATACCCGTAGCTTGTCTTCCATTCTCTTATGCGGTATGGAGTTCTAAAATCTTACCATGGAATTCTCAAGTAAAATAAGCCTTTGTAGTATTTATCAATTAATAGTAGATTTATTTTTTATCAACCAATACTAGAATAATATTTATCAACTAATATTTATTGTAATTTATCAACTAATACTAGAACAGACTGCTTCTAAATGCATCTTCACTATGTCTTCAAACACTTACAGCGCATATCTCATATTTTAACCTCTTTAATGTCCATGCAGCTAGAGAAGTATTTGCTTAAAACCATATTTGACGATTTAAAGATCAATTTCCTCATGTTATCCAAAGGCTTATGAAATTCATTCAGACATATTTTTTATATCCTAGGATGGATTACTTAGAATTCCATGTTAATAATCTAGATAGTAAATAGAGTAAACAAGTGATAAGTCTTTCTTCTTTTAATTTCCACTGACGTGAGTGTGGGAAAGTTTGAGATTTTCTCTTTATGTTTATTAGTCTTCTGGGTTTCTTTAAATTCTTCATAGCCCTTGCTAGCTTCTTTTGGAATGTTTCTATTTTTCATGTTAAATTGCAAGAGGTTTTAAAATATTATCTATATTATTCGATCATCAGTTTTAGATATTTCAAATAGCTTTTATCAATCTATTTTTATGCAACTTATTTATACTCATTACAGTAAATCCAGGCAATAAAGCAATTTGAATAGAATTGCCTTTTCTTGAATAATGAGAATATGAAGAATATTGCTTGTTGGCTGCTGAATAATCTGCATATTATAAAGAGTCAGAATCAAAATATGTAATCTACAATATGCATTTTTAATATGTGAATGTGGATTGTAAGCAGAATCACCTTTAGAGACAGAAGAGAGGGTCCATGCCCTGGGCTTTATGCTCTAGGAATCTCACTGTCGCCCTCCTTCAGCGGAACCCTTCCCCATGGAGTAAGGAGTCCCTCCCTATGCCCAGAACAGCTGCCAAACCCAAGCCTGACATCTCCTTCTAGCCCATATTCTGGGCATTTGTGATCTTGATGTTTGCTGTCCAAATTGTCCCAAGTACTATTTCAAGGCCTAAGCAGTCCTCTTCCCTGAAACCATGCTAAAGAAAGGCTGTGCTGCAGATGAGGGCACTTCCAGTTTTGCAGAATGGCCACATGGAGGTGGATAGAGGTTGGATTTGAGGCCCTCATAGTGCAATGGAGCTGGGAGTATAAAGAAGAGAGTGTAGGCCTGGGTTAGGTCTTGAGGGATATCTTTATACCACCATTTCTTTGGTGAAAATTACAGGGCTTAGAATTTGAAAAATTCCAAGAATTTCAAATTCTAAGACCCATTTCCAGGTCATTATGAAGACATCAATTCATTTTATTGTATACTTTATTACTTTAATATATAACATTTAAATATGTACTCATTTGGGTTGTTAAGTTCAATTTATACCTACAATTCTACTATACCTATCTGTAGATAATAGATTTTCTTCTCAACATATGGTATTTTAGTTTGTTGGAATTCCAAATGTTATAATTAATTAACTTAACTGCAAGTCCGATGATTATACTTGTGAATTCTCTGAAATATTTAAAGAAAACCGAATTATAATATTACACAGGTTTTTTCAGAAAATTTAGAAGGGGACACTTCCAAGTTTATTTTATAAGAATATAATAAGAATTATATTGTTTTTATAAGAATATAAAATATTGTATAAGAATATTTATAAGACTAGAATAAGAATTATATTTATTTAGAAAAATGAATATGATGTGAAAATTTTACAATGATAAAGTATTTTTAAAATTTTTACCAATCTCTCTCCCCATAGGGAAAAATCTAAATTTCAAGCATGAACAAAGGTCCACTTAGAGAGGGACCCTCTAGCATTGCAACTCAGTTTTGAAGAGGTGGTACGCAGGTGGCGCTTGCCTCTCAGGAAAGGGCCAATAGCACTGGAATCCAAGGTCTGAAAGAGGAGACACTGCTGCTAAGGAACAAACCATTTTTTCGGTGGGGATCTAGGCCCCTAAGAAGAGAGTACTGCTGCTATGCCAGCAAGTAGAAACTATAGTTGCCACCGAGGGGACTCTGGAATACTGTTTACAGAAACTTTGAGCTTCTATGAGTCTTCCAGGAAAAAAAAAAGGGGGACGGGGTGGTGGTGGAAAGTAGTCCCTCTCACCTTATTGTTTGTCATGCTCAGAAAAACATAGCTTGCACAGTCCAATTTCCAGCATCAGAAACAGAATAGAGAAGGTTAAATACGTAAATAAAAGGCAATAAGTTAATAACTAAAAAAACATATGGAGGAACTAGGATACTCACAACAATAGTGAAAAAAGAACAATGTTGAAGGATTTAGAATAACTGATTAAAAGACTTACTATAAAGCTATATAATCAAGAAAGCAGGTTATTGACATAAGGCTAGATATTTTAATAAATTAAACGAAATAGAGAGTCCAGAAACAGACCAAGGCATATATGGTATTTTTATTTGGATAATGCATGAGAAAAGTTGAACCTCAATCCCCCTCTTTTTTTTTTTTTTTTTTTTTTTTTTGAGTCGGAGTTTTTGCTCTTTTGCCCAGGCTGGAGTACAAGGGTATGATCTCGGCTCACTGCAACCTCTGCCTCCTAGGTTCAAGCGATTCTCCTGCCTCAGCCTCGCGAGTAGCTGGGGTTACAGGCACCCGCCACCATGCCCAGCTAATTTTTGTACTTTTAGTAGAGACGAGGTTTCGCCATGTTGGCCAGGCTGGTCTCAAGCTCTTGACCTCAGGTGATCCACCCGCCTTGGCCTCCCAAAATGCTAGGATTACAGGCATGAGCCACAGCGCCCGGCCCTCAACCCCTACTTTACACCTTACACAAAAAGTAACTTGAGGTGGCTTATATAGCTGGACTTAAAAATTAAAACTAAACAAAGCTTCTAATATTTTCAAGACCTAGAAATAGGCAAATAGGTCTTAGAGAGGAAACAAAAACCATCTTAACTATAAAATTAAAAGATAAATAGTTGGACTTCTTCAAATTTAAAAAAATGGATGAATCAAAGGGTTCTGTTAAGATATGAAACTGCAGGTCATAGACTGGTACAATGTTTGCAATACATATATCTGACAAAGAACATTTTTCAGAGCATATAATGAAAGTTTACAACTAAGCAAACAAATAACAAAGAAAACAACCAATTGAAAAATGGGAACAGACTGCAAGGGAGAATTCACAACAAAAGATACAAGAATGGGTAATGGACACAGGAAAGACCTTCAAGAAGATTAGCCATAAGGAAAATGTTAATGAAAATCTCAGTGAGTTACCATTTCATGTTTAAGGAATTAACTAAAATTTAAAAGACTGACTACCCCAAATATTGGTGAGAACAGGACACAGATCCACTGGAGCTCTCATACATTGCTGGTAGGTGTATAAAATGGCAAAATTATCTTGAAAATTATTTGTCATTTTCTCATAGAGTTAAATATAAATCAAAGCTACAAAACAGAAATTCTACTCCCGGAATCCATATAATGGCTACTCCACTAGCGATTCTTCTGTATAGCAGATGCTTTTGAGTGTTCTGGGGCTTGTAATGTGGGATTCCACCAAAAATGTACAGGAATATTTATATCTGCCTTATTCTTAATAGCTGAAAACTTGAGAAACAATTAAATTTCCAGTGCATTTCACTTAATGTAAATTTTACCTTAATTAAAATAAAGATTTTAAACAAAAGTAAGATCTCATTACAAATATGAAATCTGACTACCTCTTCTTGATTCTTATCCAGGCCACTAAGATATTTCTTCTTCATACAGAAAAACATCTTCTTATTGCTGATAATCTTATTCAAAATCAATTCAATGTTGTTAAAGGACAGTTACCCATGAAATTACTTAAAAATTTGTCATAAATGAGAGGGAAAGAAGTAATATGGACATTTGAGTTACTTCAGCTGTACCAATTTTATTCCAATTTCACCTTGTTCAATCCTGATATGAAGTTGTCAGATTGAAGTCTGAGAATAAAAAATCTGTAGATCCCTCTTAGCAGATTAAAAAGTGGGTGTGTAGCCAACATAACAGCAGGAAACAACCTTAAATTGGACCAGCATCCACCCAATAAATAATTGCTGGAGAATCTGGACCACTGGAGCACTCATTAGATGAGTTTGAATTTGTCAAGATGGATTTCTTTCATTAAAAAAAAAAAACTCAGGATTTTCGCATGATGTTCATCAAGGATATTGGCCTGAAATGTTTTGTTGTGTCAGGGACATGGATGAAGCTGGAAACCATCATTCTCAGCAAACTGACACAGGAACAGAAAACCAAACACCTCATGTTCGCACTCATAAGTGGAAGCTGAACAATGAGAACACAAGGACACAGGGAGGGGAACATCACACACTGGGGCCTGTCGGGGGGTGGGGGCCTAGGGGAGGGATAGCATTAGGAGAAATACCTAATGTAGATTACGAGTTGATGGATGCAGCAAACCACCATGGAACATGTATACCTTTGTAACAAACCTACACGTTCTGCACATGTATCCCAGAACTTAAAGTATAATAATAAAGAAAAATAAAAAGAAAAAGTTAGGCTGGGCGCAGTAGCTCATGTCTGTAATCCCAGCATTTGGGAGGCCAAGGCGGGCAGGGTATCTGAGGTCTTCGAGACCAGCCTGGCCAACATGGTGAAACCCCGTCTCTAATAAAAACACAAAAATTAGCCAGGCATGATGGCTCGCACCTGTAATCCCAGCTACTTGGCAGGCTGAGGCAGGAGAATCGCTTGAACCTGGGAGGCAGAGGTTGCAGTGAGCCGAGATTGTACCACTGCACTCCAGCCTGGGCAACAAGAGCAAAACTCCATCTCAAAAAAATAAAATAAAATAAAATAAAATAAAATAAAATAAAATAAAATAAAATAAAATAAAAAATAAATAAAATAAAATAAAATAAATAAAATAAAATAAAATAAAATAAAATACAATACAAACATTCCCTCCTCTCCCAGCCAAAGAAAGGAACAGCATAAAATTAACCTAATGCTCCGGAACAACATGCACAGACATCTACCGTGTATTTACTGAAGGTAGAATGGGTTTGAGAAGTAAAAATGGGTAGTTATCCTTTCTCATTCTTGTTTCTTCTTTCAAGTAACCCTGGCTGAGCCCTCAGTTCTGGACAAAAAGTGTGGAAATATTTTCCATTAAATATAAATCCCACCTCAAGTTCAATAATTCAAATCATTTTTTCTTCTTCTTAACAACCCTCATAATTCTTAAAAGCATCTGTTATACAGAAAAATCCCTAATTGAGTTTCCATGTGGAAAGATATCTAAAAGCTCACTGGGAACACACGCATTATTATAGCAAAAATTGCACTGCGTAAATATCGGTCAATACTAACAACTTATAAAACACTTAATTTATCTAAAAACATAATTAAAGGTGCCCATATTGAAGTTTGGAGGAAAAAATCCTAGTCCCTGGAAATTTCCTCTGTTTTAATCCATTAAGGCTTTAGTATTTTCTGAAATAATGTAATTATTTTCAAGGGATATAGAACATTTTTAAGATTTTAAAAATTGGAGAAATCATAGAATCAAAGCAAACTCATGTAAATCTCTGTTCAGGTGGGGAAGGATAATAAAGCGTAATTCAGAATTGAAAGGAACAGTATTCACAGTTAAATGAGTTAAAATTTATTACTTTTTGGAAATTTATTTTAAAAAATAACCACATACTTGAAGAGTCCCAGGGAAGTGAGAAATCTTGATGAAAAATCTTCATAATAAAACTGTCTCTATGGATAATATTACCTTCTTCTGACTTCCCTTGTTAAATACTTAATATTATGCCACTTTCTGCTCAGTGCAAAAATTTAAAATTTCTTCAGAGAAATAGGATAATATACAGCACATGCAGCTGCTTAAGGCATTTATTCATCTCCTCAAAACAAGGTAGAAGGGGGCATACAAATATATATCATGCTAACGTAACAGGAAAATATATCTAAAATTTGGCAAGTAAATTAAGGGTACTTTAGATCGGAACTTTATTTTCACTATGAGTTAACAAAAAAATTTTTAATAATGAATAAACAACAGATTACATTACATTTCCAAGAAATGAAATTTTACTGAAAGATTGAAAACATATATCCCAATTATCATCAATAATTATGCTAAGATATTATACCTTGTATAAAAAATCTCCTATAGCCCATAAATATAAACACCTATCATTTACCCATAAATTAAAAATATACAAAATGATGCTATAGGTAAACCTGATAAACTGTGATATTAATATTGGATAAAAATTTACCTTATTTATTTATTGGAGATGATTATTTAAATGTATTCATTTTAGAATTTTGTACATATTTATTGACTCTAAATATGTCTTTCCAAAATAAAGGCTAGGTAATGATTCTCTATTTCAGTGGTACCAAATGCACACTTAAATTCCATGAACATGTACTGCACCCTTATAAAGTGTTGAGACATACTCAAGATTCAATAAGAAGACCAATTACTTAAAAAAATAGCCTTTAAATCACATATCAAAAAAATTCTACTTTTGTACACAATAGCTGATATATTCATATACTAAAGCCAATGACAAGCACTTTGCAATTTTTTTACTTAATCTTTAAAGCAATGTCATTATGTAGGTTCTTATTCTATACCAATTTTGTTGATGAATAAACTGAAGCTTGAAAGTTGTTAAAAGCTACTCAAGGATAAGACTAGTGGGAGATAAAGGTGAGATTCAAATCCAGATCTTTGTTATTCTCTGCATTAGTTTTCTACTGCTGCTATAAAAAATTGTCACATATTTACTGGGTTAAAATAATACAAATCTTATAGTTCTGTAGGTTTAAATTCCTGCATTTGTCTCAGCAGGTTAAAATAAAGTTGTTAGCAGGACTGTGTTACTTTCTTGGCATCCTAGGAGAAACTGTTTCTTTGTTTTTTTTCTGCTTCCATAGAGTGAACACATACATTCTTTGGATTTCTGGCCCCCTTTGCTTTTTTCTGACTTGTATTTTGTAGCCACATCTCTCTCTGACTCCCCAATTCTGCTTTTTTCTTCTACTTGTGAGAACACTTGTGATTATTCAGGATAATCTTCCTATTTTAATGTCAATGAATTAGCAACCTTAATTCCATCTGCAACCTTAATTCCCCTTTGCCATGTAATGTAACATATTCGTAGTTCCAGGAAGTGGAATATAGACATCGTTGGAGAGGCCATTACTATGCCTACAATACTTGAAACCATTCTCTTAATCATCATACACAGTGCTTCTTGAGCTAGCCCATATGTGGTAATGGTGACACTTGTAAAATGATACTAAGGGATTTCCCATTTAAGATGCAAGAAAACATGATAGTCATTTCTTGATTGTCTTTAAGTTATCTTCAGATAGGTTTTAAGCCTTGGTCAACTTAAATTTTCTACTAAAAACCTTATTTCACAAATCAAATATTTTTTTCTCTTTACAAGTATTAAAAGGAAGGAGACAGAAAGATGCTCAAATAGTCACCCACAGCGGGTAGACTAAGTGCAATTTTTAGTATGAACAAAGTCCTATTTCTAAGAAAAGACTCACTAGGGTTTCACCTCTCTAATGTTCATTTCTGGATTATTCATGTAGACACCCTTCTATAAAGTAGTTCAAATAAATATAAATATACCCAGTAGGCAGACCTGTATAAGTAAAAACAGAAAACTCCATATCATAGGGATATGCACAAAGAATACAAGTTTGTATGGTGCAGCCATGCTACAGTAGAGAAATGGGATTTGTGAAAATACATTGTGCCATCAAAAAATAAATCAAGTTGTCGTAATAAAAGAAAATGCCATTTGAGAAGCTCTGCTTTAATTTTATGTTAACTGTACATGAAAAAGAGATGTTTAAGTTTTAAAAATTGAATTGTGAAATGAAGTGTAATAGTATCATAGAAGATTGAGAGCTGAATATTCAGAAATTATCTAGCCAATTCAAATTCCTAAGTATTACAGTGTTTATTGTACTTGCTGGATGATTTCTGCATGTAAAATTAAGTGTTATAAGAACGTGTTAAATTCTAGGAGAAGTAATAATTGTCAAACACAATCAAAAACGAACTTGAAAATATTTATCATGTGGTATGGTTAAGGAGAACCTGATGATGTAAACCAGCACGCCTAAATTAGCTATGTGATATTGAACCACTGCAGAACTTCTCTGTCCCCTGTTTACTACCTGTAAATGTAGGGGGTTAGACTTTAGTGGTTCTCAAACATCAGTATGCCTCAGAATCACTAATAAAGCTTGTTAGCACCCAGACTGCTGGTCTCCAGCCCTAGAATTTCTATCACAGCTCTGGAGTGGGGCTCAGAAATCCACATTTTTAACAAGTTCTCTAGCGATGATGATGCTGATGCTGCTAATCAAAGGCCTCTCTTGAGGCGTAGCAATAAATTAGTGAATTCTTTCAGTGCTTGGTAGAAGGCATCAGAACCACTGCATATGCATTATCCTCCGACCCTTTCTTTCCCTTTGTCCCTTCTCTAGGTGATTCTTGTGGTCTTTCATACTCTTCTAAGAATCAGTGGGTGATGTGATCATTTTAGCAAAATAGTTATTTAAGTCTACGTTCATACTTGAATTATTTGTGGAAATATTTTCAAAGAAAGGAAAAGAAAAAGAGAGAGAAAAGACAAAATTTTCATTTGCACAGAGTTCTTACCATATGTGCCTTGAACTGTGATAGATGACAAATGAAAACTGTAAGAATTATAAAAATTCTACTATAAAAAGTTTAATAGGTGACTGAATGCCATAAGAAGGACAAATGTAATAGTGACAGAAAAGAAACAGAAGAAAGCAGATCTTAGAGTAATTAAGAAATTTACTTCATCTTCCTTAAAAAAGAAAGTGTGTGACAAGCAAGGATTAGCTGGAAAACTCTGGAAGTTCCAAATTCAAACAGTAAACCAATTGAATAAAATGCACAAAGCATCTTAGAAGCAACTTAATGACACTGTATAAATGGCAATAGTCATCACGATAGGAACATTGCAAATGACACACACCGAACCCTCACAAAGTCTCATTCTGGTTTCAAAAAATGTGGTCTCTATGGCAGCTCCTTAACAACTGTGCATCTGCTATGCATTAGCACTCTAAGGTGAGTCTCAATGGAGCACATAGTGATCTGCAGAGCCCCCTGAAAACGCAACTGATTTGAAGTCTGAAAATATCTAACGTATAGTGAGTAAACAGTCCTCAACTTCTACCATTTGTAAGGGGCAGAAATACCAAAATATGCTTCCAATTGATGAGTCAAGTATGAGAAAAAGTACTGTATTTATTTGAATGGAAAAATTCTTGAGTTTTCATCCTAAGTGGGGAAGAAGAAAATAATGACAATGTTGTAAACAAGATGAACTCGATACAATAATGCAGCCCTAATGAATTTTACATGTAAGACTTTTGTAGCATTCCTAAGATCACCATGGCAGCTTCTCGTTAGTGTCTTTCTGTGGTTACCAAGCAATCTCAGTAACAAAATATTGTGCTGAAGTAGTAGGCCAAGCACATCAAGGCATGCAAACTTCTTCATTTTTAAATTACAAATTTAGAAAAATGTATTTGTGTAGACCCAGGAAAGAACCATTTCATGTATCAGGGAGTTTTCCAGATACATAAAGACCACTACACATTCTCTACAGTTTCCTCAGCCACATCTGTATGTTTAACTACAAATAGAAGAAAAGTTATGAAAGGAACATGGTGCTTCTTGAATTTAGGGTATTCTGGATAGAAGAGGCTTAAATGTCAATAGGGAGAAAAAAGAGAAACAGTTCTGTAGAAATGAAGGAATAAAAGTTTATGAAAATTGTCTAAATTTTTTCTAATTGTCTACAATTGTGTAACAATTTTCTGATGTGTAAATAATTAATGCATCACTTAAATAACGTGACAAAAAACTTTAAATAGTTGAATTATTCGCAATCATCGACTTCAATCCCTTGGGAATAACATCCAAGGGCTTGACTTAAATTATGAATGAGTTATATCTATTTATTTATTTATAGTCTCATTTATTATTTTCCAGTAATCGCATTCTAAAATAATCTGTGAATGGTACACACCATAAAGTTGATTTAAATCCTCCTGTGAAAGGAGAAAGTTTAATATATATAGTAAATTCTATAATTAGGGAATATTATAATTTTAATACTTAACATTTTAATGGATAACTTCCCTTGGGATTCCTTTCCAATTCCCCTTGGTTATTCCTGAATCTCAATAAAGGTTAGACCCATGCCCAGAAAAATATACTCATCTTATTTCACTCTAGTCTTACAGTCTACTTGCTGATGTCATCCTGCTACTGCCCATAACCTAGTTGCTTTAGTGCTCTGGGAAAAATGATCCTTCCCCACAACTGTTGCCACCTACAACTGTTTAAGTGTGCACCAACACACATCAATATTCTCTTTCAGTATCTCTCATATTCTACCACTGTGTATATCCATGTATTCACTGAACTCCCTGAGAGTTTTCATACTAATTTAAACTCAACTGGTAATCAACTCATTAAACTCTTTTTACCCTGCCAGCCTAATTCTTTTGATTCCTTTACTTCCCAGCCTCTACTACATTTTGTCTTTGCCTGTAGGAGGATTTTAATTGCAATGGCAGTCACATCACCTTCATCGTTCTTCAATATTACTCTCTCTTTTCTAGGAAACCCCTATTAGTACTTATAGTTTATAAATCAGGCATTCATATATAACATAACATCCTGTAAATCAAAATATCAAAGTTCTTTGGAAGTAGCAATTTTCTCTTTTTGGAGGAGAAAAGTGAAGGAGTTCAATGTGTCTAGAAGATGAAACTGAGCAGAACATACCTGATGTTCTTATGGAAAAAGAAACTATCAAGTCTGAACAAAAATAGATATAAAACTTCCACCTTCCTTCAGCTTAACAAAGGTAAAGTGAGTTCTGAACACAAAGACAAAGCACAATGGATTATCTCAAGTTTTATCTGAAGTGGCGAGGAGATGTTACTCAATAATGAAAATGTGGCAAGTCTACTACAAATGATTACCAAGAAAGAATGTTCAAAATATGGTTTTGTTGTTCCAATATAAAGTAAAAAAAAAAAAAATCAAAGTATTACACATTAAAGTTGCCCCACCATATCTTGAGTTACTCATAGGTGGATTCACCCAACTGCAGATTAAAAAAATTTGCAAAAAAAATGTATTTGTACTGAACATGTAAAGACATTTTTCTTCTCGCTATTCTCTAAACAATAGCGTGTAACAATGACTTACATAACTATTACATTGTATTAGGTATTATAAATAATCTAGGGATTATTTCAAATATACTTGAGGATATGCATAGGCTATATGCAAATACTATGCCATTGTATATCACAGACTTGAGCATCTGTGAATTTTGGTATCCAAGAGAAGTTCTGAAACCAATCCCTCACAGATACCAAGGGATAACTGTAATATTGTGTATTATTATACTTAGTTCATATAAACTCTTCAGTTAATATTATAACTATTCATGTAATTATCATTATACATAAAAACATAAAATTAATTATTAGTGGCTTAGTTCTGACAGTTATAGAAATAAAATATTTTTCATATATTAGATCAGTATTATGTAGAAATATTTGGTGAATACATTATTAGATGGCACTTGTCACAAATTAAAATCCAAGCAGGTTTCCAACTATAAAAGATATGTCAATGTGCTTTGAGATTATTATTTCATCATGTTATTTCCAAAAATTTGATGATTAACAGAAGTGTTAATAATTTGTCATCATAAATAGAAGTAAATATGCTAACTTTCTAATTAGTAACATATCCAACTCAGACTTTTTGAAGATCATTAAGTTAACTTCACAAATAGGTCTCCTGATAGATATATGCAGTAGCTGGATATGTGGATGGCTAAACTGGGGTGAAAACTGCATCCATAGAAAAATAATATCAAAGGCTTTTTTTATTTTAATTTTTTTGAGACAGGGTCTTACTCTGTTGCCGAGGCTGGAGTGCAGTTGTGCTATCTCAGTTCACTGCACCCTCTGCATCTCAGAATCAAGCAATACAACCGTCTCAGACTCCTGAGTAGCTGGACCACAGGCGTGTGCCATCACACTCAGCTAATTTTTTTTTTTTTTTTTTTTTGTAGAGACTGGGTTTCGCCATGTCACCCTGGCCGGTCTCAAAATCCTGGACTCAAGTGATCAACCTGTCTCAGCCACCCAAAGTGCTAGGATTAGAGGCGTGAGCCAGCGCGCCTGTCCAGAAGGCTTTATTGTTAAAAATATAATTTAAATCTCTTTCAATACCTCAAAACTTCAGTATAAAATTGAATAGGAAGATTGTTCATATTACAGTAATTTAAAAATTAGAAACCAGTTAGATAAACAAAAGTGAAAGAAATTATTCAATATAAACTGTTTTTCAAATTGAATTCAGAATAGGCCAGCCAATGAAATAACAGAGGCTATTTAAAATAAGAAAACTACAAGGTAAGGGCAATAATGACAATGAAAAATCAGGCAATCTAGATGAGCTTCTGAAACAGAGAAAGGAGTAGGCTCTCCAAAAGAAACCCTAATTGTGGCCCACATGGCACTAAAGCCACATAGCTACGGTTTAAGGCAAGCCTATTTACTGTATTTTCTTATATCCTTTTCTTCCCAAATAATCGTATTTCCCCCTCTTTGTAATTAAAATGGAGAAAAACTACCCTGGAAATTGATTACCTATGATTTCATTTCTTAAAATTGGCAATTTAAAAAAATTCTTCTGTGATAATATTAAGTAGTAAAATTTAGAATTTCTCCTCTATAAAACCAGTAACCACTTGGTATATGCTTTTTTAATCTTTATGTGGCTTTAACGAAGTTATGTTAGTTTTCTGGCTCCCAATCGCCCATCAATAAAACGAGATATTATGTCTCCTTACATGAAAGATAGTTGTGTACCACCACATTAAAATTGATAAGATGTGCCAAGAGCTCTGGAGGAGAGCATGTCTAACTATGAAATATTCAGTATGATGTGGTAGACACCTGAGTTTTCATTTTTAATAAAGTTGCTGACAAGAAACACCAATCAAGAAGACTATCATTTCATTGCCTCTTTTTATTTATTTGTTTTTTGTCAGGTTGAGAAAATGTCTTAAAAATAAATCAAACAAGGCTGGTATGAGTACAGTAGTGTTTACCACTAGTTGATCACAACCAGTTTACAGACTTATTTGTTCCTTCTTCACTCCCACTGCTGCACTTAACTAGCCTAAAAAAAGTAAGGAAATATAATAAACATGATTTAATTGATAAATATCCTTTATTTTAGTCATCTGAAGGCAACATTTTCAATGATTTTTTTTCCTCCCAAGTACATGTAATGGAAATTGGAAACAGTTAAGTATTAGTACACAATTTTATGAGTTCTGAAAATACAAAATACATATACTAAAATAAGTGACAAATTATGAGTTGGAATATGAGCACGATGAAGGTGTATGCAGAGTCTGGTGTAGCCAGTGCTCTGTGAAAGGCACCTCTTCAGTAGATACATGCTGGTTGACCAAAAACAGGACTATTGTTGTTCCTGCTATCCCTTTAACGCACATGTCATCAACTCTCAGCACACAAGCTGCATCCAGACAACAGAGCAGATTGACTGGGTCCACCAAAATGTCACTAAAACTTTGCATTAGTTGTAAACATTGAATAATTTCTTATTTAAAATACATATGTGGATTTCTGGTTTTTGTCGCTGTTGTTTTCATTTCTTCATGAGAATAATGATAAGGGGGAGACAGAGAAAGAGAGGCACGCTGGTACCTTTGGGAAGCATTCTACTTATAAATGGACAAGAATCGTCTAACATTATTTTTATCAGTTGCTGTTTAATATGATGCTTTTGTTGTTTTTCTCTCAACCAATCAGCATTATTTCCATTATCTGCCTATTCCAATGCATTGGGGTTTACAACTCTCATATTAATGTCATCATGGATAGATTAATGAAAAGATTAATTAGATCGAAAGCATAAAGATAGCTAATTTTGACTAATTTGCCTATACTTTATTAACCTCAGTTTCCTTATTTTTAAAATAGTGACAATATCAATTTCAAAGGGTATTGAGAAGACTAGTTGGAAAAAATATTTAGAAATAAAATAGTAAAACCTCAAGAAATATTTACTACTAATTTTTTTTACTAAGATAAAAGGGCAGCAAAGAAGTAGATGGTTTCATTGATACAAAGAGTAAAAATCACCCCATAAGCCATGCATATAAGTCAAAATATTTATACATGTTTCATGAAAATAAAATTAAAGAATAATCCAAATCAGCCATATGAAATACAATTTCTTGAAGTAATATTTGGTAATCTCACAAGTAAAACAAAATACTTGGATTTACATTTGTATTTCATTTTATCATGTCAAATCAATATAATATTAGAAAAAAGTTTATAATCTTCAATATTTCAAGAACTACAATAATGTTATTTTTTATTTTTATATCAACCTTTTTCATATCACAAACATGAACAGAAGCATAGCAGATACTGCAAAATCAATCTCTAGAAAATATATTTAGATAGAACAACTTGGAATGAGGCAGTCCTTTGAGATAATCTAGTGAAGTTGAATCTCAGAAACCTTAGATTCAGAGAGGTAGAGTAATTGATCTTAGGTAGCATGAGTTTTTGATAAAAGATCAGGAACTACAATCTAGACATACTGAGAACTTAAATATATGCAGTCCTCACTCTGCATGGTAGTGTGTGACCATAATAATTACAGGGCAATATGAAATCATGCAGGGTGATCTTAATACCTGTTCTGTGACTTTTAAAACTTTTTGTTAAAACATTAAAAATTCTCTTGATGTCAGTTATTTTTATAAGAAATGAAAAAATATAATTAATATTTGCTTAATGCACTGTATTTTAAAGCTTTAGAAACATTGAGAATTAAACTATTTTATTTCTTTGTAAATGACATAGCCAGAGTAGTTTGGACAGTGCTTATCTTTTTACCCTATTACTTATGATATGAAAAGGGAGAGAAAGCATCTTGCCTATGTCTTAACAAATTGTCATATTTCTTTCTAAATCTGGATCAGCTCCAGCATTCTATCCTTTGCCCTTCCAATTGCATGAAACATCTCCAAGTGTCCCTTTAAAGTGAAGGTTTTTTGTTTTTTGTTTTTTCTTTGTTGGTATCACTTTGTCTGAGCCTTCTTCATCCATTTTGTCACTAGCACTTTCCTCCTTTATATCTCAGAGTTTTTTTTCTGCTGTGTTTCTTTGGAAGTATATCTAGAAGCTCTCAAATAGTGGCAATGTCAATATTCCCATGGTCGGCTATTTTTTTTTTTTTCTGAAATTCTACTTATGTTGATTCAAATTTCACTTCCAGTGTTATCACTTTTCATTTATTTGCAATGCTTTTATCTTTCTTGGCCAATCCTCTATTTTTATTATCTCTTTTTGTAAAATGTCACAAGGATTTATCTCTGGGTGGTAAGGAGTCAATACAAGTACATGCTTTGCATCTGTGCATGAACTGAATAAAATATATGTAGTGACAATCTCCCACATACTTTGAAAAGGTGGTATGATTGGTCACTGATCATGAGGTAGATCTTCTATTGACACAATGATTTGTGGACTTAAGTGCTAGCAGCAAAGTTTGTACTTCATGCAATTACTTACACTTAATATACCACCATAACTGAAATTTGAACTGTGCTGTTGGGGGACTGGTGTTATTTAACTAATCTGTAGTAACTAAATTTTGTACAAAGCAAAAACTACTTATGTAAGAATAAGGTGTGATATGGTAAATCCAATTTCAATGAACACTTTTATGTATAAAAATTCTTTATGGTAAAATTATTTCAGTTGCTTGGGAAGTGGTCACATATTGAATTACTCATACATTTTTTCAACAATTAAAAAACTATTAAGTGATTGTAACATAATTTCTAGAAAGAAAACCAATCCCTGCCCTCACAGTACTTACACTGTTGTGAAGGAAACAGACAATAAATAAGATAAATACGTTATAAAATGCAGATAATTATAACAGCAAAGGAAAAAATAAAGCAGGGAAGTATCACATAGTATCAGAGAGGTGAATAAAATTTTATGTAGGGTGATCAGGAATGATTTCACTGAGAATCTAGTTTTATTGTAAAGATTGAAGGGAAACTAGGAATTGAGACTTACGTACATCTTATGGAGGAGCATTCCCTGCAGAGTAAGCAGCAAATTTTTAGTTGTGCATAGGCCTGAGTATTTGAGGAATAGGGAGGAAGTTAATAAAAGTGGATCAGTCAGTGAGTGGAAAGGTGGTAATTGGCAAGGGAAGAGTGGTCAGGGAGAGCCAGAATACACAGACCCTCAAATATCATACATACAGCTCTAGTTTTAGTCTAACTGAAATTACAAATGATGGCAAGGCTGGAGCACAAGAGTAGCATAGTATAAGAATAGCAGCACTTGGCTTCTTTCTTAAGCAGAGACAGAAGGGGGATCCAGGCAGAAGCAGAGAGTTAGTTAAGATTCCATTGGAATAATTCAGGGAAGAATTATGAGGCCTTGGACCACTGTGGTGGTCTTGAAATGATGGTAAATACTGTAGTTGAATTCTGTATATACTTTGAAATCATATTTTTTTTAGTATCACAAGGTGCTTGAATGACCCTCTAGAGTGGATTGAAAATAAATTTGAGATAATTATTGCCTGGAAGGAGGTAGAACCCGAAGACTAACCTTTTCTAAAGAAATGTGTCATCAACTGTGATAAATTAAAACAAAATCTAGTATCGCCACACAAAAAAAGCAAAGGCAGGTAAATGATTCTATTTTAGAGACTAAGATAAGAAGTAGCACAATAGCCTCTAGGAAGGCTACCATAACCTTACAGAATAAAATGCAACGTTGTGAGGCTGAGAGATTTTCCTTTCAAATGATTTTCTGATCAGCAACTTGAAGACTTAAGGGCCTAATGCATAAACAGAAGCTCCTGCCTTCAAAAGTCCCCTCATAGGCATGTGTGTGTGGTGGCGGGGGTGGGGGGGGGGGCGGGGGGCAGGGGGGGGGGGTGTAAATTTGTATCTCCATCTGTCAACTAATTCCAGCATCCAGAGAAAAAGCTTTTCAACATTTCAGTATTTACATTTTCAACATGGAGCAGAAAATGTAACTGTAGTCCAATTGCCAATATATTATGTACTTTATACATAGATTTGCAAACAAATCTGAGTTATTTGTAGGGATTATATGTTTAACTAATAGCAAATGTTCTAAATTACATGTGATGGATTTGTTTAGTCAAATCTGTTTATTAGCTATTGTACTTGTGAGTAACCTTTATTTTCCCTTCTTGATACTCCCTGCCTTAATATACTTTACAGCTAACTTTTCATGATGTTCATTTTAATAAATTATTTTAAAGTAAATAAATAAATGCTGATTTTTATCAATCTAAGGTGACTCATCATTTATAATTTGTCATGCCAGATTGCATCAGACATTTCATACTGGCTTGGTGGAAAAGCACAACAAAATCCAAAGGATTCAACACCAAACAATTTATCACAACATGACACATTTTAAATGATAAAGTTCCAGGATAGACAGAGTAAAAGGCATTGTGCTGTTCAAGAAACTCATGAAACAAATGAAAATAAAAACACTTTCTTGGCTATTCTATGTTCACAAGCATATTGCAAGACAGTCTGTTTATTTGGTAAGAAATTCAATATTATTGAAGTTTAACTTCCTTGATTGATTATATATATTATATGTAATACATATGTGTATATGTTCATATAATATGTATGTATGTAATATATATCAAATATATATGTGTGTATATGTGTACAGATATGTATATAATTTCTTGCAGATTCAAAAGTCGGCTAGATTAGTTTAAGACTAATATGACAAAAGAACATTGCAATGTTTACCCATCAAGTTTACCTTGATTTTCCAAAGATTCATTCCAGCCACTTACCACCTGCTAATTATGAGAGCGAAAACTTCAAAGTGCCTCTGAATAAAATTTCAAAGTGCTTCCAAGACCAGCACATCATCAAGAAAAGTAGCTAAGCTCATTATCCAATAATCTGTGATTGCAGTGTCAAATGAAGCATTATTTTGACTGGTTTTCACTGCATCATGCTTTTTCCTTGGCAGTCTGCCAGCGGACATATTTTTTAGATAGATCCCAATGTGATTTCCTTAAAACACACATCATTTACCCTACATATTATATATAGAAATAAAGTGAAAAATCCTATTGTACATTAAAAAGGAATCATTTACTACATTTGCAACTTCTATGGATAGCTACCTTTATAATTTACAAATATTTAAACATAACCAAAATAGTTATTGCACATATCATAACTAAATGATGTTAAGTATCAAATTTATAATTATAGTAATTGGGTAGAGTTACATTTAATTCATTCAATACATCATGGCAGTAATATCAGCACTTGGCTAAGTGTGATTTCACTTAATTTTCAGGCAATCCTAGGAATACAATTAAATCTTCACTTTAATGATGAGAAAACTGAAGCACTAATACTGGGGATACAGGCACACAAAATTTAATTTCAGATATAAAGACAAATAATTCAAAAGTTAATTATACTTAAGTGTAATGAATGTAAGTAATATGGAGGAGAATGGCAGAAATGGATATCAAGGGGACTTGGCCAACATTACAGTACCAAAAAGAATTTCAAGAGATACGGAATTTTATAGTAAGAATTAAATTGAGGCTAGAGATTGCTCGTTAAAAGTGGATGAGAAGAATAAGAAGAAGGAAGTTGAAAACATTTCATTGTGTTCCAAGCAGTAGATATGGAAGAACATATGTAACTAAAAAGAGTTTGGTATGTTTGAAAATGAACCTAATTGTATTAAGAAAAGATAAATCTAAAGAGAAGGACATTGCCAAATTGTAGAGGAAGTTGTATACTGTGATAAGGAGTTTACATCTCATGCTAAGGGCAATTGTTAGGCATTGAAACACAATACTTCCTTATTTTATAAGGTCCCTCTGGCTTCAAAATAGGAAAAGATTGGGAAGTGAACAGCTTCAAAATTAGGGAAAACTTACAGAAGATCATCACCACAGTTTATTTAATTTAATTACTTGGGGTAAGGGAAGTACAATTAAAAAGTAAAGGCAAAGAAAATAGAAAAAATTCAAGTCAAGGGCTGTAGTTTTCAAACTTTAGCATGTCCTAATTACCTGAAAATCTTGGTGTAAGGCATTGCAAGGTTGATCATCAGAGTTTCTAATCCAGAAGGTCTAGGGTAGGAACAAAGAATCTGTATTTCTAACAAGTTCCTAGGTAATGCTGATGCTTCTAGGCAAGAGCTCCCTTTGAGAACTGCACATCAAAAAAGAAGGAAACTGACTTTTTAATGATCACCATTCTAACTGGCATCTAACTGGTGGGATTTCTGGACCCACCCAGGGTGAGAAAGGAGCTTGGTGCCCTGTAGGGAAGGACACAAGTCTGGCTGGATTTACCACCTGCTGACTAAACAGCCCTTGGGCCTTGGGTGATCACTGGCAGTAACCAGGCAGTGGTTGCCACAGGCTTTGGACAAGACCTAGAGCTGTGCTGGCTTGACGTCTGATCCAGCACAGTCCCAGGGGTAATGTCCACAGAGGTAAGTGTATAACTCTTCCCTCAGCTTCAGGCAGCTCAGAATGGAGTGAGAAACTTTGTTTCTTTGGGGAAAAGTTAGAGAAGAGAATAAGAGTCTCTGCCTGGTAATCCAGAGGATTTTGGATCTTACTCAAGACTACCAAAGTGGTACGTTTACAAATCTGCAAGAGCATTTCTGGGTTTGTGGTGGCCCCTAATGCAGATGTGGCTGCAGTGTCCAAAAACCTAGATCACAACACTCAACCCCCTTTGAATACCTGGAAAGCCTTCCCAAGGAAGACTGGTACAAATAGGCCCAGACTCTGAGGAATTCAATAAACACCTAACTCTTCAATACCCAGACATTAATGAATGTTTACAAGCATCAAGGCAATACAGGAAAACGTGACCTCACCAAACAAACTAAAGAAGACACCAGTGGCAGATCTCAGAGTGACAGAGATATGTGAACATTAGACAGAGAATTCAAAATAGCTGTTTTAGGGAAGCTTGATGATATTCAAGATAGCATAGAAAAGGAATTCAGAATCCTAATTAATCAATTTAACAAAGAGATTAAATTTTTTTTAAAAAAAGCAGAAATTCTGGAGGTGAAATTCAAGTGATGCAGTGAAGAATGCATTAGAGTCTCTCAGAATGGATCAAGCAGAAGAAAAATTAGTAAACTTGAAGACAGGCTATTTGAATTTATATAATCAGAGGAGAGAAAAGGAAAAATAATAAGAAAGAATGATGTACACCTATGAGATGTAGAAAATAGCCTTAAAAAGGCAAATCTAAGATTTCTTGGTCTTAAAGTGGAAGTAGAGAGATATATCATGTCAGAATATTTAATCAAAGAGATAATAACAGATAACTTTCCAAACCTAGGGAATATTCAAGTACAAGAAGGTTATAGAAGAGCAAGCAGATTAAACCCACATAAGACTACCTCAAGGTACTTAGTAATCAAATTCCCAAAAGCCAATGATAAAGAAATGATCCTAAAGGCAGCTAGAGAAAAGAAACAACATACAAAGCAGCTCAAATAAGTCTGGCTGCAGATTTCTCAGTGGAAAACTTACAGGTCAGAAGAGAGTGACATGACATATTTAAGTGTTGAAGGAAAAAAAACCACAACTTTTATCTTAGAATAGTATATCAAGTGAAAATATCCTTCAAACATGAAGAAGAAGTAAAAGTGGGGGTCGGACAAAAAAAAAGCTGAGAGACTTTATTAACACGAGATCTGTCCTACAAAGAAAAGATCTTCAATCTAAAAGAAAGGACATTAACAAGCAATCAGAAATCATCTTGAGGTACAACACTCATTGGTAAAAATAAGTACTCGGACTAATACAAGATAATATAACTGTAATTGTGGTGAGTAAAGTACTCATATCTTGAGTAGAAAGACAAAAAGATGAACCTATCAAAAATAATAACTACAACTTTTCAAGACATAGTATAGTAACATATAAATAGAAACAACAAAAAGTTAAAGGGGGGATGAAATTAGTGTAGATTTTTATTAGTTTTCTCTGCTTGTTTGTTAGTTGGTTTGTTTGTTGTCGTAATCAGTGTTAAGTTGCCATCAGTTTAACATAATGTGTTATATTATTTGCAAGCCTCATTGTAACTTCAAAAAACTTACAATAGATATACAAATAATTAAAATCAAGAGATTAAAACATACTGCCAGAGAAAATCAACTTCACAAAATGGAAAAGAAGATCACAAAACCACCAAAAAACAAATTACAAAATGGCACTAGTAAATTCCTACTTATTCATAACATTGAATATAAATGGACTAAACTCTTCAATCAAAAGAAATTGAGTGGCTGAATGGATAAGCAAACAAAACCCAATGATCTGTTGCTTTCATTAAACATGCTGAACCCCCAAAGACACATATGGACTGAAAATAAAGGAACAGAAGATATTCCATGCCAATGGAAACCACAAAAGAAAAAGTAGGAGTAGCTATACTTATATTAGACAAAATAGACTTAAAGATAAAACTATAAGAAGAAACAAAGATCATTATATAATAATAAAAGGGTTAATTCAGCAAGAGGACATGGTGATTGTAAATATATATGCACACAACACTGGAACACCCAGATATATAAATCAACTATTATTACAGATAAAGAGATAGACCCTAATGCGGTAACAGTTGGAGACTTTAACACCGCACTTTCATCAATGGACAGACAATAAAGATAAAAACTAGACAAAGAAACCTTTAACTTCATCTATACTCTAGACCAAATTGACCTACTAGATATTTACAGAACAGTCATCCAGTGGCTGCAGATTACACATTTTTCTTCTCAGCACATGAATCATTATCTAGTATAGACCTTATATTATACCACACAACAAATCTGAATAAAAATTAAAAATTTACAAATTTAAATCATATCAAGTATCTTCTCTGACCACAGAGGAACAAAACTATAAAGCAATAAGGATAGGAACTTTGAAAATTTATGACCATGTAGGAATTAAACAATATGTTCCTGAATGACCAGTTCATCAATGAAGAAATTAACACGGGAATTGAAAAACTTATTGAAACAAATAATAATGGAAACTCAGCATTCCAAAGTCTATAACATAGAGCAAAAGCTGTACTATGAGGAAGGTTTATAGCAAAGTGCCTATACCAAAAATGTGGAAAAGCTTCAGATAAACAATCTAACGATGCATCTTAAAGAATTAAAAAAAAGCAAGGACAAACCAAACCCAATATTAGTAAAAGAAAAGAGATAAAGATATTAGCAGAAATGAATGATATTAAAACAAAACAAAACAAAACAAAAAACAATACAAAGGGTCAACAAGATGAAGAAAAAAAGACAGAATACCCAAATAAAATCAGAGACGAAAAAGGATACTATCAACTGACACCACATAAATTCAGAGGATCACTAGAAACTACAATAAGCAACTACAAACTAATAAATTGGAAAACCCAGAAGAAATGTTCAAGTTCTTAAACATACATAGCCCTACAAGAGTGAAGCATGAATAAATCTAAAACCTCAGTACACCAATAACAAGTAACGAGATTGAAGCCATAATAGTCTCCCAGCAAAAAATGGCCCCAGACATGATGGCTTCGCTGCTGAGTTCCACCAAACATTTGAAGAAGAATTAATATAAATTCTAGTCAAACTATTCTGAAAAAAGATTAGGAGGGAATACTTCCAAACTCATTCTATTTGGCCTGTATTACCCTGATACCAAAACCATTAAAAGACACATCAAAAAAGAAAAAAATACAAGCCAATATCCCTGATTAACATTGGTGCAAATATCTTCCACAAAATTTAGCAAACTGAATTCAACAACACATTAAAAAGATTATTCATCATGACCAAGTGAGTTTTATCCTAGGTATGTAAAAAGGTTTCAACACAGGGAAATCAAACAATATGATACATCCTATCAACAGAATGAAGGATAAAATTACATAATATCCCTGTAGAAATCTGATGTTTCCTGTTTGATTTATACCTGTATATTTTATATATAAGAATGGATGTGATAACTTAGATTTAGATTTTCCCTGTTTGCAACTGGTATAAAAAATTACAATTCACTAATGCATATTAATTTTGTATCCAGCCAGCTAACTAAACTCAACTATTATTTTAAAAATATTATATAATTTTACTAATATACATTAAAGATATGTAACTCAAAAGATGAATCATTATTTTAAAATTTTGTTTGTAGATTGTTTTAAATATTCTGGGTAAATGATCATATCACTTGAAAACAAGCTGTATTCTGTCCTTTCTCATGCTTACACCACATTTTAATTGATGCTGAAAAAGGATTTCATAAAATTCGACATCTCTTCATGATAAAAACCCTTAAAAAATTGGGAATAGAAGGATCATACCTCAGCACAATAAAAGCCATGTAAAACAGACCTACAGCTAGTATCATACTGAATAAGGAAAAACTGAAAGCCTTTCTTCTAAAATCTGGAACACAACAAGGATGCCCACTTTAATGACTATTATTCAACTTGGTACTGAAAGTTCTAGCTGGAGCAGTTGGACAAAAGAAAGAAATAAAGGGAATCTAAATTGCAAAGGAAGAAATAAAATTATCCCGGTTTCTAGATGATATGATCTTATAATTGGAAAAATCTAAAGATCACATCAATAAACAAATAAAACTATTTAGTAAAGTTCCAGTATACAAAATCAACATACAAAAATTAGTATTGTTTCTATATGCCAACAGCAAATATTCTGAAAAAGAAAGCAATAAAGTAATCCTATTTACAATAACTACAAAAAAATTAGATACCTAGGAATAAACCAAAGAAGTGAAAGATCTCTAAAATGAAAATTGTTAAATATTTATGCAATACATTGAAGAGGACACAATAAAATGTAAATATACCCCATGTTTCTGGAATGGAAGAATCAATATTTTCTAAATGTCCATACTACCCAAAATAATCTATACACTCAATGCAATCCAGTTAAAATATCAATAACATTCTTTACAGAAATAGACAAAATAATCCTAAAATGCATATGGAACTACGAAATAATCAGAATAGTCAAAACCATTTTGAGCCAAAAGAACAAGACTGGAGGAATCACATTACCTGAATTCAAATTATATCACAAAACTATAGTAATCAAAGTAGCATGCTACTGGCATAAAAACAGACACACAGACCAATGGAATAGTATAGAGAACCTGGAAATAAATCACACATTTATGGTGAACTCATTTTGACAAAGGTGTCAAGAAAATTCATTGGGGAAAGGACAATCTCTTCAATAAATGATGCTGGGGAAGCTGGATATCCATATACAGAAGAGTGAAACTAAACTCCCCCCTCTAATTATATAAAAAAAGAATTAAAGACTGAAATCAAGGACCTGAAACTGTATTTTCCAGGACATCCAAGACATTTGCTGGGCAAAGTTTTCTTGAACAATCCCCCACAAGCACAGGAACCAAAGCAAAAAGTGGACAAGTGGGATTACATTAAGTTAAAAAGCTTCTGCACAGCTAAGAAAGAATCAACAAAGTGAAGAGATGACCTACAAAATTGGACAAAATATTTGCAAACTCTCCATCTGACATGTGTGATTAATAACCAGAATATATAAGGAGCTCAAACAACTCAATAAGAAAAAATCTAATAATCTGATTTAAAAATGGGCAAAACATCTGAATACACATTTTTCAAAAGAAGACATATAAATGGCAAACAGGTATATAAAAAGGTGCTCAACAACACTGAATATGAAAGAAGTGCAAATCAAAACTACAATGAGATATCATCTCACTCCAGTTAAAGTGGCTTTTATCCAAAAGACAGGCAATGACAAATGCTGGTGAGGCTGTGGGGAAAAGGGAACCCTTCTACACTTTTAGTGGGAATGTATCAAATAAATTAGTACAGCCACTGTGGAAAACAGTATGGAGGTCCCTCGAAAAACTAAAACTAGAACTACTATATTATCTAGCAATCATCTAGCTAGGTATATATTCATAAGAAAGGAAATCAATATATTGGAGAGATATCTGCAGTCTCATGCTTATTGATGTGCTATTCACAATAGCCAAGATTTGGAAGCAACCTATGTGCCCATCAACAGAAAAATGGATAAAGAAAATGTGGTACATATACACAATGAAGTACTGTATTCAGTCATAAAAAAGAATAAGATCCTGCCATTTGCAACAACATGGATGGAACTGGAGGACATTATGTTAAGTGAAATAAGCCAGGCACAGGAAGACAAACTTTGCATGTTCTCACTCGTTTGTGTGAGCTAAAAATTAAAACAATTGAACTCATGGAGATAGAGAGTAGAAGGATCATTACTAGATGCTGAAAAGCATATTAGGGGTTGTAGGGGGAATTAGGGATGGTTAATGGGCACAAAACTATAGTTAGATAGAATGAATAAGGCCTAATATTTGATAGCACAACAAGATCACTACAGTCAACAATAATTTATTGCCTGGGCACGGTGGTTCACGCCTGTAATCCCAGCATTTTGGGAGGCCAAAGGGGGCAGATCACCTGAGGTCAGGAGTTCGAGACCATCCTGGCCAACATGGTGAAACCCCATTTCTACTAAAAAATACCAAAAAAACTTACCAGGCATGGAGGCACGCTCCTGTGGTCCCAGCTACTCGGGAGGCTGAGGCAGAAGAATTGCTTGAACCCGGGAGGCAGAGGTTGCAGTGAGCCGAGATCGCACCACTGCACTCCAGCCTGGAAGACAGAGCGAGACTTCATCTTGAAAAAACAAAACAAAACAAAACCCAATAATTTATTGTACATTTAAAAATAACTGAAGGTGTATAATAGGAATGTTTGTGACACAGAAATGATAAATACTTGAGATGATGGATATCCTATTTACCCTGATATGATTATTACACATTGTATGCCTCTATCAAAATATCTCATGTACTCCATTAATATATACATCTAGTCCATACTCATAAAAAAGAGTTATAGCCACAGAATTGAACGCACTTCAGCCATAAGAAGGAATGAAATACTGATAATATGGATGAACTTCAAGAATGTTATGCTAAATGAAAATAGCCAGACATGAAAGACCATATATTGCATGATTCCATTTATGTGAAAAGCCCAGAAAAGGAAAATCTACAGAGATGGAAAATAGATTAGTGGTTGTCTAGGATTGGAGGCAAAATCAGGAAATGACTGCAAATGGGCTCGACACGATGGATATTTTCGGACTGATGGAAACATTCTAAAATTAGATTGTAGTGATAGATATACAACTCCGTAAATTTACTAAACACTGAATTTTACATTTAAAATGGGTAAAATATTTGATTTTTAAATTATACATCCAATAAAATCTGTGTGAAAAAACCAAGTGAGTAAATGAATAAATTTCAGGCCTTTAAAAAATTAAAGTGGAAACCATATGATCATCTCAAAGCACTTTATAAAGTTCATTACCAAGTCACTATTTTTAAAAAAGAACTTGAGCACTTAAAAGAAATTATTTAGCTTTGCACAGAATACTTAAATAAATAAACAAGAAAAACCTGAGCTAACTATATAATAAATATAACAACTTTATGAACATTCCCTTTTAAATCAGGAGTAAGAAGAAAATGTCAACTACACCAATTTAATATTATAGCCTCTAGTCAATAGTATAAGACCAGAAATATAATTTAGTGGTGTAAGCATGAGAAAGGACAGAATACAGCTTGTTTTCAAGTGATATGATCATTTACCCAGAATATTTAAAACGATCTACAAACAAAATTTTAAAATAATAGTTGAGTTTAATAAGCTGGCTGGATACAAAATTAATGTACATTAGTGAATTGTAATTTTTTATACCAGTTGTAAACAGGAAAAATCCAAATCTAAGTTATCACATCCATTCTTATATATAAAATATATAGGTATAAATCAAACAGGAAACATCAGATTTCTACAGGGATATTATATAATTTTACTAATATACATTAAGGAATATGTAATTCAAAAGATGAATCATTATTTTTGTTAAAATTGGAAACATATGCGGTTATTATCTTATCTTCAAACTATCTAGATTCAATAGAATTCCAATCAAAACTCCAAAAAGTTTACTTACAGAACTTGACAAGGTGATTCTAATAATTATACAAAATGGTTAAGGCTAACCAGCTCTTTTGAAGAAAAAAGAGTAGAAGCATGGAGACATTCTATCATGTATTATGTCTTAATATAAGGCTATATTAATTAAGAGAGTGATTAATTTCAATTATGCTTTCAAATATGTCTCAACCTAGAACTGAACTGCCCAAAAGAGGTAACTCAAAATAGTCTAAAAATCTCATCATTGTTTACTTTGGGAAAACCACTGTAAATTGAGAATGCTAAGTAAGTGAAAATATATAATGATCATTATCATAAAATTTACTTTGAAAATAAAATCGCTTTTACCATGAGTACATTTTTAAAACAAAATCACCATTATAATATTTCACTGAAAAATAATTGTCAAGGCAATTTGCTATTCCTTTTTTTCAAGTAATTTACAAATGTTAACAAACAATAGTTACTATAACCTCTATGTATATCAACTTCCCAGGAAACTAAAAAGGATTAAAAATTTTAAAGATGCTAATTGATCTGGGAATTTTTATGTTTGCTCCTTTTTTCTCAGTGTAATTTTTAGCATTATGTATGTTTTTAAAAAGTATTCTTTCTAACCTTTCTACAAACTGAAACAATACATTTCCTTTTCAAATAAATTTTCCTGTGTATTTATACTGTTGGATATTGACTATAAGATAATCAGAATGATTTTCTTAGCAGGAAAGATAAATTAGCACATTTATGAACAATGTTTATATTTACACATCTTTTGTAGTGAGATTTTCATTAAAATTATCTAGCTTAATTCTTGCTTTTTTAGGAAAGACAATCTTCTAAATTTTACAGCTGTACTTTAACTTCTTAAGTATGATATTTCACACTAGGGGTCATATTCACCAATTTCAACTTGACATACATGTTACAAGTTCCAGTGAACTATTTATCTTTTTCTATTTTCCACCTGAATAAACAATTTGAGAAAGAGAAACAGAGACAGGGAGAGAGAGACAGACTGAACCAAGAGGCAGAAAATAATACAGAAAGTTACAGAACAGAGAAAGAAGAGAGAGAGAGGATAGCAAAATAGATATAGATAGACATAGATACAGACATGCATTCGTTAATGAGAAGGATACATTCCAAGAAATGCATGCTCCTGTACTTAATACTATAGAGAATTGTAAAACAATAGTAACTGTTTGGGTATCTAAACATATCTGAACATAGTAAAGATACAGTACAATTACTGTACTATAATCTTATAGGACCATCATTGTATATGCGGTCCATCATTGACCTAAACATTGTTATGTGGTGCATGACTGTATATATATGTATGATACATATACATAGAAACAAAAAGGGAAACATATTGAGACAGAGACAAAGAATGAGAATCAAGAATGTTTCCCGTATACAGACTTCCACATGCTTTGATAAAATATCACCTTTCTAAATCAGTAATGCATGTATCCCATCATGAGAGCAGATATATTTTAAATTACCTTACAGTAATGCTGAGAATTATAACATCATTTTCCTAATCAATTTCCATTGTAACCAGTGGCTTTTATGTATGAGTCAGATGTCCAGGGACCAGGTATAGTTTATGACACTGAAAACAACAACAAAATACAGTGGATTAAGCCCATAACTAGTTTCCATTCGACTATATATTAAATAAGATAAACTTATCATAAAGAAAATATGTAATAAAATAATAAAAATACATCTGGACAATGAAAATCTAATATCTTCAACCTAAAGTTATTCCTTAAATAGGTAGATTATTTTTTAAGAAAATGTAATCTCAAAATTGGTGAATAATTCCTTTGAATTAGAGAATATTTAGAAACTTTCAAAGTAAAATATTTGCTAGCTTAGCAGTGCCATCAAAATTCTCATAAAATTACTTAAAAGAAAGCAAAGATGGGGTAACCCAGGAATCAATCAATAAATTAATCCATAAATAAATGGATTAATCAATAAAATATAGATAGGACTAGGAAATTACATACCCAGGTTTGTTATGATAAAATTGAAGATGTTCACACACCTACAGTCTATCAGAGGCGTGAACTTCTACAACTATTTTTCCAATTATTTCGAAATTTTTTCCGAGGCAAGCAAAGCCATTTTGTCTTCTGCTTTCTGCTTCAGTTCATTTCATCACTCTGCTCTACGTTTTATCTTACATTTCATGATTCTAATCTAGTATTATGCAAAAGGGAAGAAGTTGGTATTTTACAACCTGATACAGTAACCCTAATTTTGGAGATGTGTATTTGTGAGTATCACAAACCCCTGCATAAGGGCATGAGTTCACGGTTCAGTTTCACTATCTACTAGATGTCTCATCTTGAACAAGTAATTGAAAGTCACATTAATGAATCTACTTGTCAGGGAAATAGGCTTTTCAGCACCCATATTCGTTCCAAATGGTTGCTGTAAGCGATAAATATGTTAACATTTTAAATGTATATAACACATTAATGGCATAATTAAAATTTAATAAATAGTAGATAGCACATGGAAGAATGTATATGGATAGATAGATAAATGGAATGAAAGTGGTTAAGTCCTGGGACATAGGAATACAATATGGGATGCAGTATTCCCTAAATTCATTTGGAAGAACTACTTCAAAACATATAAGAATGATTACCTCTGAATAATTCAATCAAGGATAAATAGAAGATCCATCTCTAGCTTAACAGAGTCACCATAAATATTTGCCTACAAAACATGGGAAATTTTGTTAACTCTGTGTAAATTAACATGCCAAAGGTTACCTTCTAAGCTACCTTCAAAAACGGAGAGTAGATCCTACAGTTTTCTCTAGGGTACCAAAATACTAGACCCCAATAACAGTAGTGGTTTCAAAAATGTTTTTCTCTCTTTCAAAGGTTTGCTTTCTCCTCCGTATATTGATAATATTTCATAAGTATTTGTTGCATGAAATCACTAGGTCCCATGTTGGAGGTATTATTTCTTTATTATTCGTTCTTGAGTGAGGACAGTTCTATGTTGTTTGATATCTGTACATACACAAAATTGGTCATTCTCAGTGTTTAATAAAAGTTGAATTTTAATAAAATTCCAATGAGTTTAATAAAACGACTCATTAAAATTACCTTCAATTTGAAGGTGGAATAGAGGCTTTGACAGCAGTTATAATGTAAGGGATGAGAACTGATAAGAATAAACATGTTTCTGAGCTATAATCAAGTAATAATAGCACTTGCTACCACTGCTGGAATCCCATATTCAAGAAGGCTAATATTTCTGCAAAGAGTCCCAGCTGCTATTGCCCTAAAAGATGCCAAGACAACATTTCCCATTGTCAGTTCTTTTTTTATATTATGGCTCCTTCAGCCACAGATGCACAACATGCTGCCAGGGGAGCTGCTGGAACATGGGCCCAAAGGCCAGTCTCCAATCATCAAGTCACTCACCAAATTCTTAGCACATCTTCACTGTGTGTTATATGCTGAGTTATATTGTGGAATAATACAGTCAAATAATCTAGCCTGATGAGCTTCACACCCTACTGGGTGAGCCAGACGATGAATAATTAATATGGAATTATGAATCATAATATTGTAAAACAAAATGTAGGGTAGTCTGAGGGAAAATTAAAAATGGAGCCTAATTTCACTGATTTCTTTCAAAGGAATTAAATTTAGGCCTAGAGGTTTTGTAAAATTGACTAGGAGCTAGCCAGATGAGAACTCTGTGTGTGTAGGTGTGTGTGTCTGTGGGGGTGTGTGAAAAAGAGAGAAACAGAGAGAGGGGTAGTGAATAATTACTGTTTCAGGAAGAAGAAATAAGCAAAAGCAATGAGGAAGGCAGAATAAACAGTGGCCATAATTAGGAGGTTATTATGGCCAAAGGCAGAATGAATTATCCTTCTGAGCCAAAGCTGCCCTATGTTTTTTTTTGTGTGAAAAGCCTAGATAATTGAGCTCTATTGTTACACACAACACACACAGACACACACACACACATACACACACGTCTACATTTCTGTATTTGTCTCTGAGCAATGCTGCTTTCTTTTTCACTATATTGTAGAGACTGTGTGTGTCCAGGCATGTGTGAGTGTGTCTGTGTGGGTAAAAATAACATCTTGACCTACATCTTTAGGTTTTGGGGTTTTTTAATTTGTTTGTTTTTAATATCCTTCTCTGTTGGATTCACATACAAGTTTATGGCATTTAGGCTGAATTTAAAAATGTAGATGGAAGTGACTATACTTTACTCTCAGCTGTTCTTTTAACCAGACACTTAAAATATTAATTGTGCTGCAGTGATGTGCCAGGTCCTGTTCCTGGGAATTAGAAAAGTATTATTATTGTGCCTGCCTTGGGTCTGACACCCTCTTTCCTTAGAATTAGTGCTTTCCCCAAAATTTATTCGGCTTCCCAATAAAACAGACTTTCACTTAATCAAGGCACCATTCTTTGAGTCTAGACACATCCAGACATTTATGAGATTTATTGGTGATAAAGTTTAACATAGCTTACTCTCAAGCTGAAATCTGTCTCTCTCTCTCTCTCTCTCACACACACACACACATACACACAAGAGTTAAAATTTAAAAGGAATGTTTTAGGAAATATAAGTTTTATATTCTGGAAAAGAAAGAAGCACAATTGTTGAGAAATACATGCAGAGAAAATACAAATATACAAAGTGGTGATGATTACTATTAATTATTTGATGAGTAATTTTTATATGCACTTGGATTAGTGGTAATTTCTCTAGAATACATAAAAGTCACCATATAACTGGAAAAAAAACACTTGAAATTAGAAGAACGAGGCAAAATTAAGACAACCAATTTTTCTATGGAGAAAATAAGCTTTTCCTTGTTATTAGTGCTTCAAGTATATTCAAACAAGCTTAACAATATTTCCAAAAATGGAAATGAGCATAACAGAGAGCACAAATTGCACATTTTATTGGGAAACTTTAATGCTTAAAGATAATTAACTAACATGGGTTAAAATTTTAAGTAAGAAAGATAAATAGAAAATCTATTTTAAAAAGTCTCATGCTTCTACTTTTTCAACATATGCTATATATTTATAGGGCACAGAAGTAATTAGATAACTCAGTGTTTTAATCAAGAAAATCCTCCGGATGTGTATGGCAGAGTGGGTGTCTGATTCAGAGTAAGAAGCAGAATTACATTATTTTAAAATAACAGTGGTAATTTTAATCAAGATTTTTGCCTAAATTTGTGAGCTAAGTGATAGCTGATTACATAATAATAAAAAATGTAATCTTGTTAAGAGGCAATGCCCAAATTTTCATGTATCTAAAAATAATCATTGAAATTTTATCTCAAATTACATATACATATATTAATGAAAAAGGGGCAGATTTTCCTTAAAACAAATTATTATCAATAAACCCGTAATGCAAATGTGGTTACTATTGCATAATTGACATGAAAAAGATGGCTTTAAAAATTAAGAAATAGACATGCAAATAGTTCAATATTACTTGAACATTTAGCTAATCAGTTCACTTCTAACTGCTTCTTTTCTTCCAATAATCACATATTTATTGAGAATCCACTATGTTCTAAGCACTGTTCTGGGTTCTGGAGAAACATTAGTAAGCAAATCACAGAAAAACTGGTTGTCTCAAATTTGCCTTGTTCTTCTAGTTTCAAGTTGTAGGAAAGACATATGCAGTTATCTTGGGAAAGGCCATTTCAGCCACGGAGAACATCCAGGGTGAAGTCTTTAGGGCAGAAGCATTCTTGAATTATTAAAAAAATAAAATAAAATAAAAGGGGAGGTGAGTGCACCTGTTACAGAGAGAGCAGGGAGTTGAGGGTCTTAGGACAGGTATCACTGAGGGCTTAACATATGAGAAAAAATAGTGCTTTAATGATTTCAAAGTTCAAAGCACTAACTTCATGATATAAAAACCATTTCCACTCTGGCTCTCAGGTGAGAAGAAATTTCTCACCTCTAAAGTATAGTGTAAAGCAGTGCATTTCAAACTGTTTTAAGCAACTTAACCATTTTTTGCAATGAAACTTTTATGGAACTGCTATATATAAAAGGTAAACTCAGAACAGATCTGTTTGAATAATGGTAAAGGGGCTAAACTCAATCTATTACATACCCTGACCTTAGTGGCAGCCAAGAGATTATTTCTTAGAAAAATGTTCTAATAACTAGACTAGATGATCTTAAAGCTCTGTTCATGCCTTTGGTTTTATAAGGTAATAAAGCTTTCTAGAAACTGCCTAATATATTATCAAATTGAATAGTTACTTACTGTCCATTCATTCCTAGGCTCTACTTACAGTGCTTTAACCCTTCCAAAAATAAAGAAAAACCTTTGAAACTAATTAAATTTGTAAATTTGTCACTAAATTTAAAAAAGGTATTTAAATTAAATTAACTATGATTATTTCCTCATTTCTACTAGTTACTTTTTTTGCAAATTACCTCAAGGTAATATTTCCCAGAACCAAGTTCTGAGAATCTCAAAAAACATTATGAGCTGCTTATTTATATCTCTTATGGTGTCTAAAAGTGAAAAAAAATTACTAATAGGAAAAATTACTCATCCCTAACATTATAATTTTATAATTTTTTAATGTCTGAGATTCTCATGTAGATTTGGGATAATGCACAGATTTTTATTTTGATCCAGGAGCAATATGTACACATACGTAAATACATGGGCCGAAGGTTGTTTGGCTACATTTATTCAAGTCAATAGGGAACCCAAAGGGATTCTGGAGGTTTTTTCACTTTTATATCTAACTACTAAATCTCATTCTTTCCAAAAGTCAATGAAAATCCAAATAAGTATTAATGAAGTGAGCAAAATATTTTAAGAAACTTGGCACAGAAATTTCCCACCCAGAACACATTAGATTATTTCTGTTAATCTTCTGCAGTGTTTTTAGTTGCATTATGTCCCTGTGTGCTATGCCACATGTTTAAAATCAATATAAAGAAAAAGCAAGGTCACGTCATTTGTCCTATAAGCAAACATAAGTAAAATAAGTCTTTGCCCAACAAGAGAGTTTCTCATTGATATTTTAACTAATGTTAATGAAAGTTAAAAGAACTTTTATTTAGTTTATGTTATTTAAAATAAATTGTAATAGACATGCAGCAATTTCAAAACTTGTCATTACAATCTTGCCATTTCCTTTTTTGTTCTCCTTGATCTTTATTACATAATTTTAATCTCTCATTGCTTAAATTGTTATTGTTATTGGCTTGCTAAGTACTTTTCTTCTTCTTTTTTTTTGATCCAGAGATGCTATTTTTAATTTTGAAGGTTACTTGCACAATATAGATGCTGTAGATAATGCCACAAAATAGGGAATTGGAAAGTGCCAAGAACTATTTCCTTCAGTCCCTGGTAACAGTTCATGACACTTAAAAAAATTACTGTCAGCAGAATATTGAAGATAAATAATTTTCTTTATATTTCTGCAGAAATGCAAAAAATAAACCTTTGATCTAAAGTGATGTTTATTAACCTGAATGCAAGATGAACTATAACATTCATTTTGAGTAATATTTTGTACTCATCTAGAACCTTTTATCTTAGATGCTAACAAAATTTAAATACATTAATTCCTTACAAGACTCCTGTAGCTAGGTAATAATTTTAATTTCTCCTTTATCGATGGATAAATCAAGACACTGAGATGAATTCAAAGTCATATCAAAAGTCAATTCTGACTGAAAATGAGAGTTGTGGTTTGAATGTCTAGGTTTCTACTATAAAGTTGCTATTTTTAATCCCAAACAGCTTTTTCGAAGTATGACTTTTTCAGAATATATTTTTCTAAATGATAGTAGAACTAATGCAAATATTTCTTCAGTAAACAGGAAAAAATTTTACTTCTAAATATTACCTTAAGATTTTCTAACATATAAACTGAATAGTTATATTGAAGAAACTTGTTGAATATTTACATGCTCAACAACAAGGAAAGAATATAAGAAAGCTTATAGAAAGGTGGAATCTTACTGTGAGTATACATTTACAGTTTAAGACCAATTTTCCTTATGGATGTAATGTTTAATCAATAATTTGCTCAGGCCAGGAAACAGTGATGATGAGAAAAGTGCCTATAAGTTGAGGTCTACTCTGATCACATTGTTGTGAAGAATGGTCATACTGGTATATGTAATTGAAAGTTATAGTTACATAAAGAGTGGCTCTCCCATTTCAATTGCAGATAAGTCTACAATTAGATACAGATTCTTCTAAACATTTGTATATAATCACACTTCACCAATCGTTCATATGAGAAGTCATCTGTCATCTCCCAGTCTATGTCAAATCCTGTACAATACGGTTTTGTAGCATCATGCCACTCTCATAGTAATTAGCAAGCTGTACATTTATACTTATTTGCAAAATTGTTTAATTATTTCTCTTCAGTAACAGACTGTATCCTAGACTGGATTGGAGACAGTATCTGTTTTCCACTCCATTCCCAATGCTTGGTACATTAGCTTTCCCAGATTAAGTATGAAAATATTAATACATTAAGACATTTTAATTGGAATGGGATATTTGGCTTAATTGTGCTTCAAAGATATTTTTCCAATTGTGTAATGTTATTATGTAATTATGGCAAAGCACTCCACATCATTTATTCATACAACATAATGGGACTAATTGTAATGAATAATGGAAAAGGGGATAAACTCAATCTCTCACATACCCTGACCTTTGCGGCAGCTAGGAGACTCTTTCTTAGGAATATTTTTAATAACTAGACTAGATGATTTTTAAAGTATAACAACGCTTCCAGCATTTTGTTGCCTTAAGATGCCATTTGGAAAATGAACCAAATACTCTAACTAGATTAATGTAAATATATTAATGTAACTTACTCTGAGATTATATTGCCATTATTAAAATACATGTGAAATATCATAAATTAATTTAATGGATCCCTTAAATAAAGCCCACGTAGTTTGGGTGAGAAAACTTTTTCCCTCAGGCAACTGTCAAGCCCTTTGTTACATCTCTAGTTTAAGTTCCTTTTGGATCTTTGATGCCTACTGTTAGATGTGGGACAGAGAATGGATTCCCAGAATGGAGTCATATAGACCAATTCAGTGTACAACCTTTGAAACTGCCCAGGATTCATGAGATTGCTTTAGTTAACCATTTTGGGGAGTAGCTGAATTTTCAAACAGACCATAGTATTTTACTTTATTAACTAAGCTGAAGTATTTTATGCTGCATTAACTTGTTTGAATTAAACAAGCATTAAAAAAACTTGGTGGAGTCAACAAAAAAAGAAATTGCACCAAGTATTATTATGCTGTAGAACAAAATGCTTAAGCACAGTCAACATGACTTGAATTTTAACTGAAATTTGGAAGGAATTTGCTGTTTGTTAAGACGGATATTTTCTTAAACATCTCCACCCCTATGTGCATATGTGTGCCAATGAACACATTATATCATTGAGTGCATTGTACACATCAACAAAGGCGAAAGTAGCAGAGCAATTATTTAACACTGCCCTTATAAATCACAAGTGGTCCTAGCCTGTAGTCAGGACAGGAACTCAAGTCTTCTGACTCTGAGTCTCGTGTTCATTTTACTGAAGTGCTCTTAGAAGGTCTGTGCTATAGAACTGTCTTTCAGGCTCCCACAGTGTATAGCTATATAATCTCTCCCAGTGGCTGATTTCTTTTAAAACTCTATATTGGAGACATGAAAGTCTTACTTTTATTTGAAGTATAATTTACTCAACTAATTTAAACTCATATGCAAATATTAAACATCTCAAAATTATTCATAATGGCATTTACGATATTTGACAGTGTAAGCTTTGTGTGTGTGGTTTAGCCGTTCACATTAATTTCAGATACATCCAGTTTCTCAAAGAGGCAGCAGAATATCTTTTGCTTAATATAGACTCATTTGGAAGAGAAATCTTCAGATTTTATTTTTGGATATCATAATGAATGCTGCTGATTACTGTGGCTCCTCAGAAGGATATTTGGCCTCATGGGAGAACATAACCTATGAAGGCTGTTGCTATGGTTGTGAGTAGAAGGATAATGCCAGTGTTTCAGGTTTCTAGGTAGAGAAATGAGCCATAATATAGGCCTCGGCCGATGTGTAGGAAGAGGCAGATGAAGAATATTGCGACTCCGTTAGCGTGGAGGTAGCGGATAATTCAGCCATAGTTCACGTCCCGGGTGATGTGGGCGATCAATGAGAAGGCAGTTGAAGCGTCTGGTGAGTAGTGTATGGCTAGGAATAGTCCTGTGATGATTTGGAGGATTAGGCAGGCGCCAAGAAATGAGCCGAAGTTCCATCATGTGGAGATATTGGATGGAGTGGGAAGGTCAATAAATGAGTGGTTGATTAATTTTATTAACGGGTTGATTTTGCGTGTTGGGGTCATTAGTGTTCTTGTAGTTGAAATGCAATGATGTTTTTTCATATCATTGGTCACGGTTGTAGTCCGTGCGAGAATAATGACATATGCTTTATTTTTATGGAGTGTGGGTTTAGTAATGGGGTTTGTGGGGTTTTCTTCTAAGCCTTCTCCTATTTATGGGGGTTTAGTGTTGATTGTTAGTGGTGTGGTTGGGTGTGTTATTATTTTAAATTATGGGGGAGGTTATATAGGTTTAATGGTTTTTTAAAATTTATTTAGGGGGTATAATGGTCGTTTTTGGGTATACTATGGCGATAGCTATTGAGGAGTACCCTGAGGCATGGGGGTCAGGGATTGAGGTCTTGGTAAGTGTATTAGTGGGGTTAGCGATGGAGGTAGGGTTAGTGTTATGGGTGAAAGAGTATGATGGGGTGGTGATTGTGGTAAATTTTAATAGTGTGGGAAGTTGAATGATTTATGAAGGAGAGGGGCCAGGGTTGATCCGGGAAGATCCTATTGGTGCTGGGGCTTTGTATGATTATGGGCGTTGATTGGTGGTAGTTACTGGTTGAACGTTATTTGTTGGTGTGTATATTGTAATTGAGATTGCTCGGGGTAATAGATTATGTGATTAGAAGAAGGGTTAGGAGGAGTGGGAAGAAAAAAGAGAGGAAATAAAGTTTGATTATGCCTTTTTGAGTTGAGGTGGTGATGGAGGCCGAGATTTGGTATTGTGAAATTGTTTTAGGTAACAGTTTCTCTAGTCAAGTTAGGTCTAGAAGAAGTAGGGGTAAATTTTGGCTTGCAAGAAGGCTTAGGTAAGGGATTGTGTGATGAGTAATACTGGGGTAGAATCCGAGTATATTAGAAAAGTAAAATGTATATAGTGGGGTTTTTATTTTGAGTTTGTTGGTTAGGTAGTTGAGGTCTAGGGCTGTAAGGAGTCCTAGGGAGGTGATGCCTAGGGCTGTGAGTTTTACGTAAAGTGGGATTGTTATTTGGGGAGTGGATGCGGGGAAAATGCTGTTGGTGATGAGAAATCCTGCGAAAAGACTTCCGATTGTTAGGCATTTAATGGGGTTTAATAGGGTGGGGCAGTTTTCGTTGATATTGTTAAGGGTTGGGAAACGAGGTTGGCCTGTTAGGGTGAGAAGAATTATTCGAGTGCTGTAGGCACTTGTCAGGGAGGTGGTGATGAGAGTAATAGATAGGGCTCAGGCGTTGGTGTATGATATGTTTGTGGTTTCGATGATGAGGTCTTTGGAGTAGAAACCTGTGAGAAAGGGTATTCCTGCAAGTGCTAGGCTGCCAATGGTGAGGGAGGTTGAAGTGAGGGGTATAGTTTTGAGTAGTCCTCCTATTTTTCGAATGTCTTGTTCATTGTTGAGGTTATGGATAATGGATCCGGAGCATACAAATAGCATGGCTTTGAAGAAGGCGTGGGTACAGATGTGTAGGAATGCTAGGTATGGCTGGTTGATGCCGATTGTGACTATTATGAGTCCCAATTGGCTTGAAGTAGAGAAGGCCACGATTTTTTTGATATCATTTTGTGTGAGGGCGCAGACTGCTGCGAGTAGGGTAGTTATAGCGCCTAAACATAGTGTGAGGGTTTGGGTTGGCGGGCTATTTTCTGCTAGGGGGTGGAAGCGGATGAGTAGAAAGACCCCAGCTACAACTATGGTGCTTGAGTGGAGTAGGGCTGAGACAGGGGTAGGGCCTTCCATGGCTGAGGGGAGTCAGGGGTGAAGGCCTAGTTGAGCTGATTTTCCTGCTGCTGCTAGGAGGAAACCTAGTAGTGGGATAAGGTTGGGGTTAGCACTTAAGAGGAATATTTGTTGTGGTTCTCATGAGTTGGAGTGTAGGAAAAATCATGCTAGGGCTAGGATGAAGCTGATGTCACCAATATGGTTGTATAGGATTGCTTGGACGGCTGCTGTGTTGGCATCTGTTCGAGCATACCACCAGCTAATGAGTAAGAAGGATATAATCCCTACGCCCTCTCAGCCGATGAAGAGTTGGAATAGGTTGTTAGCTGTAACTAGGATTAGTATGGTGATTAGGAAAATAAGCAGATACTTGAAAAATTGATTAATGTTTGGGTCTGAGCTTATATACCATAGTGAGAATTCTATGATGGATCATGTGACGAATAGTGCTACAGGGATTAATATTATGGAGAAATAGTCTAGTTTAAAGCTTAGCGAGAGTTGTATTGTTTGGGTTGTTGCTCAGTGTCAGTTTGAGATAATAACTTCTTGGTCTAGGCATATGAATATTGTTGTGGGGAGGAGGCTAATAATAAAGGCGGATGCAATAATTGATTTTACATAGTGGGGGTATGAACTCTTTTTGTTAGGGTTGATGAAGGTGGCAATGATCGGGGGAATTAAGGAAGTTAGGGCTAGGATGGTTATGGTGGCATACATGGTTATTACTTTTATTTGGAGTTGCACCAAAATTTTTGGGGCCTAAGACCAACGGATGGCTGTTATCCTTTAAAAGTCGAGAAAGCCATGTTGTTAGACATGGGAGTATGAGTTAGCAGTTCTTATGAGCTTTCTCGGTAAATAAGGGGCTGTGAGCCTCTGTTATCAGATTCACAATCTGATGTTTTGGTTAAACTATATTTACAGGAGGTAAAACCGGTAATGATATCAGGGTTAAGGGATAGGAGGAGGATGGGGGATAGGTGTATGAATATGAGAGTGTTTTCTCGTGTAAGTGAGGGTTTTATGTTGTTAATGTGGTGTGTGAGCGAGCCTCATTGTGTTGTGGTAAATATATAGAGGGAGTATAGGGCTGTGATTAGTATGTTAAGTCCTGTGAGTAGGAGGGTGATGTTTGATCAGGAGAATGAGGTCACTAGTACGAAGAGTTCTCCTAGTAGGTTAATGGTGGGGGGCAAAGCGAGGTTGGCGAGGCTTGCCAGAAGTCATCAAAAGGCTATTAGTGGGAGTAGGGTTTGAAGTCCTTGAGAGAGAATTATGATGCGGCTGTGGGTTCGCTCGTAGTTTGAGTTTGCTAGGCAGAAAAATAAGGAGGATGTAAGTCCGTGGGCAATTATGAGAATGACTGCGCCGGTGAAGCTTCAGGGGGTTTGGATGAGAATAGCTGTTACTATGAGGGCTATGTGGCTAATTGAAGAGCATGCAATGAGTGATTCTAAGTCTGTTTGTCGTAGGCAGATGGAGCTTGTTATGATTATGCCTCATAGAGATAGTATGAGGAAGGGATAAGCTATGTGTTTTGTCAGGGGGTTGAGAATGAGGGTGAGGCGCATTATGCCATAGCCACCTAATTTTAAGAGCACTGCAGCGAGTACTATTGAGCCAGCAATGGGGGCTTCAACATGGGCTTTAGGGAGTCATAGGTGGAGTCTGTAGAGGGGCATTTTTACTATGAAAGCTATTGTGTATGCTAGTCATATTAAGTTACTAGCTCAGGAGTTTGATAGCTCTTGGGCAGTAAGGGTGAGTAATAAAATATTTAGTGAGCCCAGGGTGTTGTGTGTGTGGATTAATGCGATGAGTAGGGGGAGGGAGCCCACTAGGGTATAAAATAGGAAATATGTGCCTGCGTTTAGACGTTCCGTTTGGTTGCCTCATCGGGTGATAATAGCTAGGGTGGGGATAAGTGTGGCTTCGAAGAAGATGTAGAATATAATTAGTTCTGTGGCTGTGAATGTTATAATTAAGGAGTTTTGGAGGAAGATTAGTATAGAGACGTAGAGTTTTTTTCGTGATAGGGGTTCGTTGAATAGGTGGCGTTGGCTTGCTATGATTATGAGGGGTAGGAGTCAGGTTGTCCGTATTAGAAGGGGGGTCGTTAGGGGGTCGGAGGAGAAGGATAGAGAATAGCTATATAGGTTGTTGTTGATCTGGTTGAAAAATAGTAGGGGGATAATGCTGATAATTAGGCTGTGGGTGGTTGTGTTGATTCAAATTATATGTTTTTTGGAGAATCATGTTAGTGGTAGTAATATGATTGTTGGAATAATTAGTTTTAGCATTGGAGTAGGTTTAGGTTATGGGCGTAGTCCAAGCCGTATGTGTTGGAGATTGAAACTAGTAGGGCTAGGCCTACTGCTGCCTCGCAGGCAGCAAAGACTAATATGGTGATAGGCACGATGTTGGCTAAGAGGGAGTGGGTGTTAAGGGTTATGAGAGTAGCCATAATAAATAATGACAATATTATTCCTTCTAGACATAGTAGGGAGGATATCAGGTGTAAGCGGTATACTAATATTCCTAGAAGTGAGATAGTAAATGCTAGTATAATATTTATATAAATAAGGGGCATTTGGTAAATATGACTATCATAATTTAATCAGTCGAAATCATTCGTTTTATTTAAACTATGTACCAATTCGGCTCAGTCTAATCCCTTTTGTGATCATTCGTAGGCTAGGCTTAGGGTTAGGATAATGATTAATAAGAGGGATGATATGACTGTTAGTGGTAAGTTGGTTGTTTGTAGGGCTCATGGTAAGGGCAGTAGGAGAGCAATTTCTAGGTCAAATAATAGAAAGGTGATGGCTACTAAGAAGAATTTCATGGAGAAAGGAATGCGGGTGGGGAATAGGGGGTCGAAGCCACATTCGTAAGGGTTGGATTTTTCTATGTAACTGTTGAGTTGTGGTAATCAGAATGTAATAACTATTAATAGTAGGGCTAGGAGGGTATTGACTATTAGAATTAGGGCGAAGTTTATTACTCTTTTTTGAATATCATCAAAACTAGTTAATTGGAAGTTAACGGTACTGTTTATACTAAAAGAGTAGGATCCTCATCAGTAGATTGAGACGTATAGAAATAGTCAGACTACATCTATGAAGTGTCAGTACCAGGCGGCGGCTTCAAAGCCGAAGTGATGTTTAGATGTAAAGTGAAATGTTAGTTGGCGGATGAGGCAAATAGTGAGGAAAGTTGATCCAATGATGACGTGGAGTCCGTGAAAGCCTGTGGCTACAAAAAATGTTGAGCCATAGATGCCGTCGTCAGAGATGGTAAAGGGCGTTTCGAAATACTCTGAGGCTTGTAGGAGGGTAAAGTAAACACCTAGTAAAATTGTAATAAGTAACGCTTGAATTATTTGGTTTCGATTATTTTCTATTAGGCTGTGGTGGGCTCAAGTGATTGAGACTCCTGATGCGAGTAGTACGGATGTGTTCAGAAGTGGGACTTCTGGGGGTTCAGTGGGGTGATGCCTGTTGGAGGTCAGTGTCCTCCTAGTTGGGGGGTAGGGGCTAGGCTGGAATGGTAGAAAGCTCAGAAAAATCTGGCGAAGAAGAAGATTTCTGAGGCGATAAATTGGACTATTCCATATCGGAGACCTTTTTGGATGGGTGGTGTGTGGTGGCCTTGGTACGTGCTTTCTCGCATTACATCACGTCACCATTGGTATATGGTTAGCGCGTTGGTTAGTAGGCCTAGTGTGAGTAGGGTTGTGGAATAGAAGTGGAATCATATGGCTAAGCCAGAGGTTATCAGGAGGGCTGAGAGGGCCCCCGTTAGGGGTCATGGGCTGGGTTTTACTATATGGTAGGCATGTGATTGGTGGGCCATTATGTGTTGTCGTGTAGGTAGGGGCTCACTAGAAGTGTAAAAACGTAGGCTTGGATTAGGGCAACAGCGATTTCTAGAATAGTTAATAGAATTAGGATTATGAAGATGATGAGCGTTGAGGGGAGGTTAACAGTTGATATTGCTAGTGTGGCACTTCCAATTAAGTGCATAAGTAGGTGGCCTGCAGTGATGTTAGCAGTTAGGCGTACGGCTAGGGCTACTGGTTGAATAAGTAGGCTGATGGTTTCAATAATGATTAATATGGGAATAAGGGGTGCAGGTGTGCCCTGTGGTAGGAGATGGGCTAGGGCATTTTTGGTTTTAGAGCGAAGGCCTGTAATTACTGTACCTGTTCACAGGGGGATGGCCATGGCTAGGTTTATAGATAGTTGGGTGGTTGGTGTATATGAGTGGGGCAGGAGTCCGAGGAGATTAGTTGTGTCAATAAAAGTAATTAAGGATATTAGTATGAGAGATCAGGTTCGTCCTTTGGCGTTATGTATAGCTATTATTTGTTTTGAGGTCAGTTGAATTAGCCACTGTTGAGTAGTAATCAGTCGGTTGTTGATGAGGTGTTTGGAGGTGGGGATTAGTAAAGGGGGAAATAGAATGATCAGTACTGCGGCGGGTAGGCCTAGAACTGTAGGGCCAATGAATGAAGCGAATAGATTTTCGTTCATTTTGGTTCTCAGGGTTTATCGTAGTTTTTTATTTTAATGGGTTTTGGTGAAGGGGTGAATGGTAATTTGTATTTAATATTTTTAGTTGGGTGATGAGAAATAGTGTGAGGAGTATTGGGGTAATGATGGTGGGTCATACAGTGGTGTTTAGCTGTGGCATTTTCACTGTAAAGAGGTAGTGATTCTCTCAATCTTTAACTTAAAAGGTTAATGCTAGGTTAACTTTACAGTGGGCTCTGGAGAGGGGTGAAAGGTGTGTTATAGGGTGAATATGGGTCCTATTTCAAAGATTTTTAGGGGAATTAATTCTAGGACGATGGGCATAAAACTGTGGTTTGCTCCACAGATTTCTGAGCATTGGCCGTAGTATACCCCTGGTCGTGTAGCGGTGAATGTGGTTTGGTTCAGGCGTCCGGGAATTGCATCTGTTTTTAGGCCCAGTGTGGGGACAGCTCATGAGTGTAAGACATCCTGTGATGTAATTATTATACGGACGGGGGCCTCAACTGGGAGGACCACCCGGTTATCAACGTCAAGGAGTCGTAGGTCACCTGGTTCTAGGAATAATGGGGGGAGTATATAGGAGTTGAAGATTAGTCCACCATAGTCAGTGTATTCATAGGTTCAATACCATTGATGTCCAATTGATTTGATAGTAAAGGAGGGGTCGTTGATCTCATCTGTTATGTAGAGGATACGTAGGGATGGGAGGGCGATTAGGACTAGGATAATAGTGGGTAGGATCGTTCAGACGGTTTCTATCTCTTGGACGTCTGAGATACTAGTATTAGTTAGTTTTGTTGTGAGTGTTAGGAAAAGGGCGTACAGGACTAGAAAGCAGATGAGAAAAATGATTATGAGGGCATGATCATGAAAGATGATTAGTTCTTCTATGATAGGAGAAGTAGCGTCTTGTAGACCTACTTGTGCTGCATGTGCCATTAAGATATACGGGGTTTAACCTGTAACTTAACTTTGACAAAGTTATGAAATGGTTTTTCTAATATCTTTTTGAAAAAGTCATAGAGGCTGTGGGGTTGGCTTGAAACCAGCTTTAGGAGGTTTCATTCCTTCCTTTTTCGTCTAGGTTTTATGTATATGGGTTCTTCGAACGTATGATAGGGTGGAAGGCATCCATATAGCCACTCCAGGTTGGTGGAGGGTTGTTCGATTATTAGGGCTTTTCGTTTTGAAGCGAAGCCTTCTCAAATTATAAAAATTATTAGTATTACTGCTGTTAGGGAAATAAATGAGCCTACAGATGATAGAATATTTCATGTGGTGTATGCATCGGGGTAGTCCGAGTAACGTTGGGGTATTCCAGATAGGCCAAGAAAGTGTTGTGGGAAGAAAGTTAGATTTACACCAATGAACATGATAGCAAAATGAATTTTGGCATAGGTTTGGTCTAGAGTGTAACCTGAGAACAGAGGGAATCAGTGGATAAAACCCCCTATGATGGCGAATACAGCTCCTATTGATAGAACGTAATGGAAGTGAGCTACGACGTAGTATGTATCGTGTAGTATGATATCTAATGATGAGTTTGCTAATACAATGCCGGTTAGGCCACCTACAGTGAAGAGAAAAATGAACCCTAGGGCTCAGAGTACTGCAGCAGATCATTTGGTATTGCTTCCGTGGAGTGTAGCGAGCCAACTAAATACTTTGACGCCAGTGGGAATAGTGATAATTATGGTAGCAGAGGTGAAGTAGGCTTGTGTGTCTACGTCTATTCCTACTGTAAATATATGGTGGGCTCATACAATAAATCCTAAGAAACCAATTGATATCATAGCCCAGACCATGCCTATATACCCGAATGGTTCCTTTTTTCCGGGGTAGTAAGTTACAATGTGGGAAATTATTCCAAAGCCTGGTAGGATAAGAATATAAACTTCGGGGTGGCCAAAAAAATCAGAATAGGTGTTGGTACAGGATAGGGTCTCCTCCTCCGGCCGGGTCAAAGAAGGTGGTATTGAGGTTGCGGTCTGTTAATAACATGGTAATGCCAGCAGCTAGGAGTGGGAGGGATAGGAGAAGCAGGACTGCTGTGATTAAGACGGATCAGACGAAAAGGGGTGTTTGGTATTGAGTTATGGCAGGGGGTTTTATATTGATAATTGTTGTAATGAAGTTGTAAAGTTGTAATGTTGTAATGTTGTAATTGTTGTAATGAAGTTGATAGCTCCTAGAATAGAGGAGATGCCTGCTAGATGCAAGGAAAAAATGGTCAGATCTACGGAAGCTCCAGGGTGGGAGTAATTTCCTGCTAAGGGAGGGTAAACTGTCCAACCTGTTCCGGCACCGGCTTCCACTATGGCAGATGCGAGCAGAAGGAAGGAGGGAGGAGTCAGAAGCTTATGTTATTTATACGGGGAACGCCATGTCGGGGGCACCAATTATTAGGGGAACTAGCCAGTTGCCAAAGCCTCCGATTATGATGGGCTTTTAAATCACACTCCTTTGAAAGAGACTTTTAGTCTCCAATTTCTATTCTTCCATTCTCTCTTGAATATTGCACAAACAAAATTTTTCCCTGCTATTTTACTGCAACTGCTGTCGGCGATGTACCCAATAACCTCCATTTGCTAAATGCTTGATAAATTCTCAAAATTTGCTATATATCGGCAGAATTTGATAGCGTTGATTACTGTTTTATCACTGATATACTTTATTTACTTGACTTCTAGGACACTATACTCTCTGGTTTTTCTTTTCTGTCACTGGTTATCTTCACAATTCCACCACTAATTCTTTCTCCCTTTCAAGTAGACATAGAAATCCCAGAGTATCAGTCTGCATAATTACCTTGGTGATTTCACACCAGCATGTGGCATACATATCATCTATATGGTGATAGCTTTTGGAATTATATATTCAGCCTAAATATTCCCCATGAGCTTCTATATCCAGCTGCCTGATCAGCATTTCCACATAACCATAGAGCAGTATCTCAAACTTCAAAGGTCTGAATCAAAGTCCTGATCTTTCCCTTAACCAAACCTGTTTCACTTAAAATCTTCCCCATTTCAATAAGTGGCATCTCTGTATTTTCAAGTTCTTAGTTTAAAACGTTTGTGTCATTCTAGATTCTTCCACATGCAATCCAGTCAAATCTTTCAGCAAATCCTGTTGACTCCACATTCTGAAAACTCCTCTCCATCCTCATTGATCTCATTATAGTGAACTACTCTTACTTTTATTGTTGCAGTAGCCTTCTTTTAAGCCTATGTGTACATATTATCTGTCTATATATATATATATCTTTAAAATACATATATTTTAAAATATATATATATCTTTAAAAAAATTCACGTATTTTTTTCTGTTTACTCACTTGTTAGAAGGCTTACAAAGACATAAATTATTTTTCTGTTTTGTCTATTTTCACTGCGTTATTCCCAGCAACTAAAAGGGTATGTGATGCACCAAAAGTGTTCAGTCTTTTCAGTGAAATAGTGAACCAAGAGATTAGTTTTATTTTCCTGCAAGATTCATTATGTGAAAACTTAAAACCTAAGAAAGAGTCTGAAAGTTTACTAATATGATAAGAGATAGGGATGTTTTAGACTACTCTAAAAATTCACAAGTATGAAATGCTGGGTATTAAGTTGATAGATTGTTGTTAATAATTGATATGTCAAAAAAATTCAGTACTGAAATTTGAGAAATTCCTGAGTAGACTAAGTCATATCTTCCTTTTTAGTTCAGAAATGAACTGACAGTTAAAAATAATATACTACCAACTATACAGGAAGATGGAATTAATATTTAAATTTTTAAAAATGAAATAAGCACAAAACTCCATTTTAAACAATGAATAAAACATAATAAAAACTTTTTACATGTCTGCAATATATGTAAAACCATTTCTATAACCTTATACAAAAGCCTTTAAAAGTGATTTTGCACAATAGCAACACTAAGCAAGAAATTTGAGTGAAAAATGCATATGAAAAAGAATTCAAGATGATCAATACACACATGAAAAGTTATTTAACCTCACTAGTAACCAGAGTAAGTTTACATGGTTCTCTGTATTATATTGAGAGTGATTGAAAATACAGACAATGCTCAGTTTTAAGAGAGGAATTAGCCTGTGAAAAAGCCCTGATAAGATAAAGTTTAACATGCTCAAGGCATGAAAGACAGCCAGTGTTTCTGGAATACAATAAATGAAAGAGAAAACTTAAGCCATTGTAGACTGCAGGAAAGAGGTAGATTTATTTCGAAGTGAAATAGGGATATTCTTAAAGTTGTATGCAGGTAAATGATAGACTTTGTTTAAATTTTTGAAAGATGATTGTGGCTATTGTGTGAGGACTATATGAGAGCAACAGAAGTGTGGCAGCTCATTAGGTGGTGTCAACGTTATTCTATGTGAAAGATCATGACGTTCTGTACCATATGATATCTGTGAATATGGAAGAGAAGAATAGAAAAACCTTTGGGAGGCCTAATTTTCAGATCTGGCTGCTCGGTTGATATAAAGAATGAGGGGTGAAGAAAGAACAAGCATATGCCAAGAAAATGTTTTATAAATGACAGAGCTGGGATTTCTGCTTGGCTCTGTCTAATTTAATGTCCCATGTACTTTCACAGTGGTAGATATATTGGGAAGTGAAAGAAATTTAAGCCAGTATTCTTCATTTAATCAGGTCCCTACAAATGATTAGGGTGTTGTCATGGGCACAAACTTCTGTAAAAGGTGTAAAAGTTCACTGTCTTTCCTCTCAGACTCCTCTTTCTTTCCAGTTCTCCTTATGTTAGTTGTGGCCAAGACAGTTTTAATTCCCCTGAGTTTAAATAAACTTTAGACAGGCTTCCTCACTAACCTTCCAATCTCACTTTTCTTGTAGCAATGACTTAAAAAAAATTGTCGTTGTAAATTTTTTCCCAACCCATTTGAGATGTAAATCTTTTTAAAAGACTGCCAGTTTTACAACCCAGGAATGATTTTTTTCTTAAGGGCCTGGGAGCCATCTCTTTGAAATGTCATCATCAAGGAAGATAGACATGCCTATCTCTCATTCTCTGTGGCAGGGAAACTAACTTTGGTGGACACTTTGCTTCAGGTTGTGAAACTACTTTCTGTCATGAAGAAATTAGAAAGTTTCCTTTTCTTTTAGGTCAGGACAATTAGCAAACACAGATGGCGTATGTTCTTTCCCACCTCAGCTCTTAAAAACTCTCCTGCCCTTTTGTTTCAAGGGAATTGAGTTCAGACTACATTCTAGTCTTTCCCCCAATTGCAAGATCCATGAATAAGCCTTCCTTACCTGTTTAACTTTGCCTAGTTTTATTTAGTAGGGGGGGGATTTGGTGTAGGCACAGGTGTTTTGGGAACCCAACTGACGGGAAAAAAAGTTAGCGCTAGAATTAGTTTAGATGTAGTGCACATGTGTGTCATACTGCTGTTACTTCTGTGTTCAGTAATTGCTAATAAGGTTTCACAGGCTAATAAGGGCAGCACTAATATTCAAGCATCAATTTGTTTGAAATTAATGCTAATGATCTTAACAATATACAAAATTATCTGTCTCATGTTTAGTGATCCATCAACAGGACTTTTAATTTAAAACCATTCTAGCTGGGCCAGGCACAGAGGCTCAGGGCTGTAATCCCAGCATTTTGGGAGGCAGGTGGGAGGATCACTTGAATCCCAGCAGGTGGGAGGAAAACTTGAAGGCGGGAGTTCAAGACCAGCCTGGGTAAGAAGATGGGACACCGCCCCCCACACCACATCTCTACAAACAAAGTAAATAAATAAATAAATAAGCCAGGCACAGTGGCATTGCCTGTAGTCCCAGCTACTCAGGAAGCTGATGCAGAAGGATGTATTGGGCCTAGGAATTCCAGAATGCAGTAAGCTATGATCATGTCACTTCATTCCAGCCTGGAGCAGAGACAGAGTGAGACTTTGTTTAATATATATATATATATATATATATATATATATATATATATATATATATATATTCTATTTGATTCTTACTTATGTCCAGAATTTGTCACTATGAGCCATCTTTTTGTCTGGCTCTACATATATTTTCATTCTGATTGCCCACTTCTATCTCACCCATACTTTTTAACCTCACTATTTTTCTCTACTTAGCTATGCCTGAGCACCTACATGTCTCCTTCATCTTATAATGAATTGTCCAGTTACATTTTTACAGAGCCTTATTTTCTGGTTGAATACCACAAAATGCTGCTGCTGCTGATGAAACAAACAAAAACATTAACAAGAATTTAATCAACAAATGGTGGTCACACCAAAAATTATTTAAGACAACACACTGCAAAAGGAAGTACAAAGTAAATAAGTTTTGAAATCTTAAAGTTTATACTAAAAGAAACTAAAAAGAGATTTTGACAAATTTAGAAACAATCCTAGAATTTGCATAGCATTTCCAATAACAAGATTGAAGCTGAAAGAAACCTTTCTAAACATTAACTAATAATAAAGGTCTTCATCAACCATGCTAGAAGAAAGACTGAATTACATTTTGTATTTTTGTAGAGACAATGCTATTATACAATTGTCATCATATGACATGGTAATCAGAAAAAATACAAACAAAATGTAAGAAAATGTATTATAGAGGTTGGTGAGAAAGTTAAATGGTGAAAATATGATTTTAAAAATATTTCTGGTGTTCAAAATTTGTAATTTTATAAAATTGGCTATTCATTTTGATTTATATAGTAATGTTTGGACTTAATGTGACAATTGCAATTTTGCCTTTTTGTTTTCTTACACAGAGGACACATCAAATTTTCTAACTTTCAAAACCTGATACACCTAAAGCAGGCTGTCTTAACGTCTCAGATAGAAGTTTTCTAAACATGTTTTCTTAAAGAAATAGGCAGTTTATTTAAAAAATGAAATAGGCTTCTGAGATTTCCACAGAAAATAATTTTAGTATTTTAATCTTGTATAACTGGTCAGAGAGGAGACATTATTTCAGGATCATTGGAAGTATGTCTGAGAAATATCAGAGAGGGTCAAATCATTGAAAAAATGATGTTAATTACCTGAGGATTTTGCAGCATGATGTAAAGCGAGGCTGGTGTATAAGATCAGGTCTGGAAGGCTGGACTCCAAATCTAAGATAAAAGTGTCAGTAAAAAAGATGAAATGTGAAGATGAGGGGAAGAAAACCAAAATAATGTATATAAAATTATTTACAGTTGAGGTCTGTTTGGGGGTTTAAACCTGTCAGGGGATACTATAATATTGCATATTAATGGCTCTTTTGTGACTTGTTAAAAATGGAGTTATTTGCAATACAAATAACTAAGGATTCCCAGAAGTTCAGAATGTAAAGAAAGTCCTTTAAGATGCTCAAAGCTGTGAAAGCAGTGCCTGTTAGGAAAAAATGTGCGAGTAAAATCATCACCTTCATAAGCTACATATGTCTTTAAAGTGCAAACATTTCTCAGGTTAGGTATTTCTCTGTGACCCATTTTATTTGCATTTTGGGTGAGTTCACGGTGAAATAAGAAGGTTCTCAACGTTACTATCATCCTGGGTATTAACTGACCATCAGTCTGTTTGATCATGACGAAAACTAACACAACATTAAAATACAGTAATAATGATCATATTGAATGATCATTACTGAATGACTCTGAAAAGACTCGTTATAACTATATTTAAGGAAGAAGAAATTTCCACAAGTTAAATTGTTCAGAGATCTGATTTTTTTTGTTTGTTTGTTTTCACTGTCTCTGACATCATGATGCCAAATAAACAGTTTTTCTCAATTATTATTATATATAAAGTTTAAAAGCCAGTATAAATCATCCCATGCGTTCTTTTTATGTACAAAAAGTCTTTATGTGCATTAAATAGACATCTGGGTACTTGTGCTTTGATAGTTTAAACTTCTTTTTACGTTAATCGGAAAAAGAAATGTTAGTTTTTAAGAAATAATATTTAAAACATCAAAATCATTTAGCGTTTAGTATTACACTCCAATTTTCTTAGTTGAGGAAAGTCCTGTTTGATCTGAAGATTATATGTTGTCCCTGAACTTATTTCTGATTTTGTGATGAGCACTGCATTTTTTTGAGCATTTTAGAAAATCTTATAATGCACAAATAAGATCACTTGAGCCCAGGAGTTTGAGACCAGCCTGGGCAACATCATAGGACTCCATTTCTACAAAACAAAACAAAAAGCCTAGAACGGGAAGAGCTGCCTCTCGGGGCTGAGAACATCCAACTGCACCAATTTAGATCCTGAAATTACCCTGCCCCACAAGCAAAAATCATGGTCACAAAGTGGCCCAAAGGAGGCAGGCCTGTGATTGCACACTGACGCTCACGACCTGTGCAGCTGGGAAGGGCTGTGAGAGGCAGAGCAGCTGCCAACACGTAGTCCTCAGCCAAAACCCAGGGCCCCCACCACTGGAACTGACTCCTCTCCAGGCAGCACTTCCAGCACTGGGCATCCCCTCACCTTGCCCTGGAGAAGCGCTCCCACCCAAGGAGCCAATGCAGTCATTCTCGCAGATAATCTTTTTTCGCTTTGTTTGGAAGACAGAGTCTCGCTCTGTTGCCCAGGCTAGAATGGAGTGGCACAATAGTGCAACCTCTGCCTCCCACGACCAAGCGCAGGCATGGTGGCATGTGCCTGTTATCCCAGCTACTTGGGAGGCTGAGGCAGGAGAATTGCTTGAACCTGGGAGGCGGAGGTTGCAGTGAGCTGAGACTGTGCCACTGCACTCCAGCCTGGGCAACAGAGCAAGGCTCTATCTTTAAAAAAAAAAAAAAAAAGAATGCTAGTATCAGCCAGGCACGGTGGCTCATGCCTGTAATCCCAGCACTTTAGGAGGCTAAGGCAGGAGGATCACTTGAGCTCAAGAGTTTGAGACTGGCCTGGGCAACATAGTGAGATCCAATCTCTACAAAAACATTTAAAATTAGCCGGGCACAGTGGTGTACACCTGGAGTCCCAGCTACTTGGAAGACTGAGGCAAGAGGGTTGCTTAGGCCCAGGAATTCAAGGCTGCAGTGAGCTGTGATCACACCACTGCACTCCAGCCAGAGCAACAGAGTAAGACCCTGCCTTCGCAAAAAAAAAAAAAAAAAAAAAAAAAAAAAACCTCAGGTTCCAACCCTGGAGTTACTAAATCAGGATCTCAGAATGCAGAGATCTGGCATTTCAAAAAAAACTTCCCCTGGAGATTCTGATCAGCCAGGTTTGGGCCAGACGAACTCTAAGCTCACTTAAACCTTTGACATTTTATGAGTCTATTAAATCGAGTACAAAAAATGCTGAGTCCAAACTGAGCAAAACAAATCCCATCTCCCTATGCCCAGCCTCCTTGGATTCAGAAAGCCACACTGCCTGGAGAGTAAGCAGAGAGAGAATTGTCATTAACCCAAAGACCATCTTTGAAAACAGACTGGCTGCGGCTGAGTGCGGTGGCACATGCCTGTAACCCCAGCCCTTTGGAAGGCCGAGGCAGGAGGATCACTTGAGCCCAGGAGTTCGAGACCAGCCTGGGCAACATGGCAAGACCCTGTCTCTATCTTTCTAAGTAAAACAAAATAAAAAGCTCAGACTGGCAGCACATGGCTCTTTCCAGCTGTTCCCATGAGCAGGCTTCAGGACAAGCCCAGGCAAAGGCAGGGAGAAATGGGGTGGGGACCCCCAGGCTCACCCCCTTGTCTGCTGCGTAGGTGGAGTTGGTCACAAAGGTCACAGGCTGGGAGGGGTCCAAGGCTTTGGTGTGAGCAATCACCATCCTGTCCACAAAAGAGAGAAGACACAGGTTCCGTCAGTCTGGGAAAGGCTCAGACACCCTCCCATCCTCTCTGTCCCATCTTCCCCTGTCAGAACACAACTGGGGGCCAGGCACGATGGCTCACATCTGTAATCCCAGCACTTCAGGAGGCTGAGGCAGGTAGATCACTGAGGTCAGGAGTTCAAGAACAGCCTGGCCAACATGGCAAAACCCCATTTCTACTAAATATACAAAAATTAGCCAGGCATAGTGGCACGCATCTGTAACTCCAGCTACTCGGGAGGCTGAGGCACAAGAATTGCTTGAATCCGGGAGGTGAAGGTTGCAGTGAGCCGAAATCAGGCTACTGCACTCCAGCCTGGGCCACAGAGCAAGACCCTGCCCCAAAACAAACAAACAAACAAAAAAAAAAAAAAAAAAAGAAAGAAAGAAAAGAAAAAAAAAAAAACACAAAGCACAGAGCCGCTGCTTTCTTCCCTAACTTGAGATGTGTTTTACATAAGGGCACGTTCCTCTAGTCCTAGACCGAGCTCTCTAACAACACTCTTTCTCCCCCACCCCTGAATCCAACTCCCCCAGAGGCGTAGCCACCCTGCCGGGTACACACAGCTGAGGTCACTGGACTGAACACTGCCGAAAATGAGGTTCACTTCCTGAAATAGCTCTTGAACACAGGAGTGAATGGGCTGTGGATTCAGGTGGAATATTTATTAATGCATCAAGCAAACAGGTAGTGCGAGGTGGGAAGTAGGCACGGGGCTGGGTGCTAGGTGCTCAGTAATGACTCAAATCTAAGTCCACAGGTCCTGGGCAGTGGGAGTGGAGATGCATGCACAGGAAAACAGTGCAAGTGCCAGGCGAGGTGGCTCACGCCTAGAACCCCAGCACTTTGGGAGGCTTACTTGAGACCAGGCGCTTCAGACCAGCCTGGGCAACATAGCAAGACCTTGTTTCTACAACAAATTTAAAAATTAGGGCTGGGCATGGTGGCTCAAGCCTGTGAGCACTTTGCGAGGCCGAGGCAGGTGGATCACGACGTCAAGAGTTCGAGACCAGCCTGGCCAACATGGTGAAACCCCATCTCAACAAAAAATAAAGAAGAAAACTAGCTGGGCATGGTGGTGTGAGCCTGTAATCCCAGCTACTCGGGAGGGTGAGGCAGGAGAACTGTTTGAACCCAGGAGTTAGAGGATGCAGTGAGCCAAGATCGCAACACTGCTCTCCAGCCTGGGCAACAGAGCAAGACTCTGACTCGTGGGGAAAAAAAATATTAAAATTTACCCTGGCAAGGCAGCACACGTCTGTGGTCCCAGCTATTTGGGAGGCTGAGTGGAGGATCGCTTAAGCCCAGGAGGTCGAGATGGCAACGAGCTGTGATTGCACCACTGCACTCCAGCCTGGGCAACAGAGTGAGACCCTGACTCTGAAATACAAACAATGAAAGAAATGTTGCAAATGGAAATGACAAGTGGTGGCAGGAATTGGGCACTCTATGAGACAACAGACACATCCCGGATTGGAGAGTCAGGGACAGGCTCTTAGAAGAAATGGCCTTTACGCTGAGTCAAGTTAACCAGGCAGGATGAAGGGAAGAGGCTCCCAACAGAGGGACCAGTCCATGCTCAGAGCTCCCAGCATCTGCCCAAGGCCTCCACAGAACAGACTGTTTTGTTTTGTTTTTTGTTGTTGTTTTTTTGAGATACAGAGTCTCATTCTGTAGCCCAGGCTGGAATGCAGTGGCATTATCTCAGCTCACTGCAATCTCTGCCTCCCGGTTCACCTGAGGCGATTCTCCTGCCTCAGCCTACCTAGTAGCTGGGATTACAGACGTCCACCACCATGCCCAGCTAATTTTTGTATTTTTAGTAGAGACGGATTCACTACCTGTTGACCAGGCTGGTCTCAAACTCCTAACCTCAGGTGATCCACCCACCTCAGCCTCCCAAACTGCTGGGATTACAGGCGTGAGCCACTGCATCCGGCCTAGACTGTTGTTGAATCTGGTTTTCTTCTTCTTTCCTCAGTTCCTTTCTTTTACATCTTCCCCCCATCATTGCTCTGCCCATCCGAAGGCTGTGGCTGGCACAGGACAGAACAGAACCTCCTAGCCTCAAGTTCCAAACCCACACTCTCCAACAGCCAGGCTCTCAGATGGGAAGCTTCAGAGCCTTGTGACAGCCTGGCTGAACCTCTCCAGCCTGGGCACTCCCTCCATTTCCTGCCCCGGAAACAGGCATCTCCTCTGGCCACCTCCCAAAGAAGCCTGTCTGGAAGCCTCAGGCACCTGTTCCTGGAAGCCTGTACTATTCACAACAAAGGGCCTGTCCACCCAGTCGTGCTGAGCACACCCCTATTCCCCCGAGCTCTGAATTGTCCTTTGCCCAGGCTGGGACAACATCTCAGAGCCTTCTGCCTGCTGCAGACTCGGCTCAGCCCAAAGCACTCCATGAAATTGGGGTGTGGCATCTGCCTCAAGGAGCATTTCTACAACCTCTGCTGCCTCTACCGCAAATGAAAACTCCACCTCTGAATGCCGAGTTAGAACTGCACAATTGTAAGGAAGAAAAGTTGGGCAGGACTGGTGGCTCACAACTGTAATCCCAGCACTTTGGGAGGATGAGGCAGGCAGATCACCGGAGGCCAGGAGTTCAAGGCCAGCCTGGCCAGCATGGTAAAACCCCGTCTCTACTAAAAAATACAAAAATGAGCCGGGCAGAGTGGCTCACGCCTATCATCTCAGCACTCTGGGAAGCCGAGACAGGCGGATCACCTGAGGTCAGGAATCTAAGACCAGCCTGGCCAACATGGTGAAACCCTGTCTCTACAAAAAATGCAAAAGTTGGCCGGGCACGGTGGCTCACGCCTGTAATCCCAGAACTTTGGGAGATCGAGGTGGGTGGCTCACAAGGTCAAGAGATGGAGACCATCCTGGCCAACATGGTGAAACCCTGTCTCTACTAGAAATACAAAAATTAGCCAGGCATGGTGGCACGCACCTGTAGTCCCACCTACTTAGGAGGCTGAGGCAGGAGAATCGCTTGAACCTGGGAAGTGAAGGTTGCAGTGAGCCGAGATCGCACCACTGCACTCCAGTGTGGGCAACAGAGCAAGACTTCGTCAAAAAAAAAAAAAAAAAAAAAGCAAAAGTTAGCTGGGCGTGGTGGCACACATCTATAATCCCAGCTACTTGGGAGGCTGAGGCAGAAAGATGACCTGAGCCTGGGAAGTCGAGGCTGCAGTGAACTGAGATCATGCCACTGTACTCCAGCCTGGGCAACCAGAGTGAGACCCTGTTTCAAAAAAAAAACAGGCCAAGCGCAGTGGCTCATTTGTGCCTGTAATCCCAGCTACTCAGGAGGCTGAGGCAGAAGAATCACTTGAACCCAGGAGGCTGAGGTTGTAATGAGCCGAGATCGTGCCACTGCACTCCAGCCTGAGCGACAGAGCGAAACTCCATCTCAAAAAAATAGAAAAAGAAAACCACAATTTGGGTGGGTAGATATTTAGTTCCCTGAACCGTCTGGGTATGGACGGCCCTCCCATTGGGCTGGGACAGGATGCTGATCTCCAATAGCACACGTCCACCACAGTCTGCCATCTGCCAGGGTCTCCTGCCTGATCCAGCCCAGGGCAGGCAGCGGGCACTCACTTGAAGGAGTAGCCGGCAGATTCCAGGAAGGACGCAGGCTCGTTGGCCACGGACCACATCACCATGGCGGGGTGGTTCTTGTCTCTGAGCACCGGTTCCTCCACCACCCACATATGGTGATGCATAGACACGTTGTTGAAGAGTTGCCAGCGGGCCAGAAGGGAAGGGACAGAGGGTCACAGTGTGGCCCGAGGGCTGGCCAGGCAGAGCGGGTGCGCAGCAGGGACTCATGGCAGCATCAGGCCCACAGCAGGACACTCATCGATGACCACAATCCCATACCGGTAACATATCTGCAGCATCTCCTCCGTGTAGGGATAGTGGCTGGTGCAGAAGGTGTTGGCGCCAAGCCAGCAAAGCAGGTTGAAGTCCTTCACCAGCAGCGGACAGTCGAAGCCCTTCCCTTGGATCTAGGGGACAGCAGAGCCGAGTGACCCCTGTCCCTGTCGAAGCGGCACTTCCTCTGAGAGCCAGGACCCTGGAGAACCACCCCATGAGGTCCCCTCTCCAGCCCAAGCACCGGCTCCACCATGGGGTGGTTTGGAGCCATTTGCCTCATTGCCTTGAGCTGCCCTCAACTGCAGGACACAGGGAAGGCTAAAGTGGAAGGTGACCAGAAGCAGCCCCCACGACGACCCAGGAGCCCCAACGCACGTCCGCATCCTCATGCTTGACGCCGTGGAAATAGAAAGGTTTCCCGCTGATGAGGAACTGGCTCTCGGTGACGGCCACAGTGCGGAGCCCCACAGGGAGTGTGTAGAAGTCAAAGGCCCCAGTGACTTCTGTGCAGTCAGCCACACCTACGACAGCCAAAGTGCCAGGTGTGAGCGCCCCGACAGCCTGAGCCCCATCTGGCCTGCCCTACAGCAGGAAGACCCCTCGTGCATGTACCCCAGCAGTCACCTCTGGGCCTGCAGAGAAGCAGCAATCAGAGGCTCTGCCCTTCACTGGCTGACCCTGGGACCTGCCCTTCAAAATCGGGCCTTCTCCTTGACCAGACGAGATGGCTCATGCCTGGAATCCCTACACTTTGGGAGGCTAAGGCAGGAGGATCACTTGAGTTCAGGAGTTCAAGACCAGCCTGGACAACAGAGTAAGACCCCAACTCTATAAAAAGGATTGTTTTTGGAGACAGTCTCACTCTGTCACCCAGGATAGAGTGCAGTGGCATGATCTCAATTCACCACAGCCCCTGCCTCCTAGGTTCAAGCAATTACCCTGCCTCAGCCTCCCGAGTAGCTGGGATTACAGACGTGCACCATCATGCCCTGCAAATTTTCCTATTTTAGTAGAGACGGGGTTTCACCATGTTGGCCAGGCTGGTCTCCAACTCCTGGCCTAAAGTGATCCGCCCGCATCGGCCTCCCGAAGTGCTGGGATTACAGGCGTGAGCCACCATGCCCGGCCTACAAAAAAAATTTTTTTAATTAGCCAGGCATGGTGGCATGTGCCTGTAGTCCCAGCTACTCAGGAGGCCAAGGTAGGAGGATTGCAGCTCAAAGCTGCAGTGAGCTGTGATCAGGCCATTGCATTCCAGCCTGGGTGACAGAGTGAGACCATCACAAAAAATAAATAAATAAATAAATAAATATAAGTAAATAAATAAATAAAAAATCTGGGCCTCCCACCAAGGGTGGGAAACATCAGAAAGCTCAGAGGACCACACCTGCCCATTCACCTGTCCTGGGATCCTGCTGAAGCCAGGGCTACCAGATGGGGGCAAAAGACCTCCCTTAAGCAAGTCCCAAACCACCATTACCTCCCACGAGTACAGGTAGGCGGGGTGTTCGTGCATCAGGTATGGCCACCAGAGGTTGGCACCCAGCACCTTCAGCTGGCCCTGGGTCCCAGCCTGGTTGTCCACGACCTTGTTTTCTGCATTCAAAAGACACACTTCCAACTTGAACTGGTTACTGCACTTGACGGAGATCTGGTAATTCACCAGCCCTGCAGGAGGCAAGAGAGACCAGGGCTTAGGGAGGGACATGACCTGGGTCACACAAATGGGAATGCCCCACAATGACCACTTCCAGGCACTCTCATTTGCTTCTGTTGCTTTTTTTTTTTTTTTTTTTGAGATAGAATCTCGCTCTGTCGCCCAGGCTGGAGTGCAGTGGCATGATCTGGACTCACTGAAACCTCTGCCTCCCAGGTTCAAGTGATTCTCCTGCCTCAGCCTCTGTAATAGCTGGGATTACAGGCACCTGCCACCACATCCAGCTAATTTTTGTATTTTTAGTAGAGACGGGGTTTCTCCACATTAGCCAGGATGGTCTTGATCTCCTGACCTTGTGATCCGCCTGCCTCAGCCTCCCAAAGTGCTGGGATTACAGGCTTGAGCCACCGTGCCCGGCCCTGAACCAATGCGCCCGGCCCGCTTTTTTTTAATTTAATTATTATTTTTTTTTTTTGAGATGGAGTCTCACTCTGTCACCCAGGCTGGAGTGTAGTGCTGCGATCCTGACTCACTGCAACCTCCACCTCTGGAGTTCAGGTGATTCTCCTGCCTCAGCCTTCCGAGTACCTGGGAATACAGGAATGCACCACCATGACCGGCGAATTTTTGTATTTTTAGTAGAGACGGAGTTTTGCCATGTTGGCCAGGCTGGTCTCGAACTCCTGAACTCAGGTGATCCAACCGCCTCAGTCTCCCAATAGATTAGATATATTATTAATGAATTGCTTCCTTTAACACCCTATTCATTGAATTTTCCAGTAAACCACAATTACTAATTACTCCTGAAATCAGAAAAGAGGTTAAAAAGATTTTATAACAGTATCCTATGAAATCTACTACTTTCAAGTAATAGTAGTTGAATTACCAAAACTCGTCACTCAAGCCAATGACTACAATTAAGATATCAGTAACATTTCCTACATAAAGTCAATTAATTATATTTGCATCTGGGAAATACAGAAAGTACATATAAGCCATGATTTTGAAGTCAAAAGAGAGAGAATATTTGGCAAGGAGGGGTGAGTTATAGTATGTAATTATAACATATAGTAGTTTTTTGTGTGCTGGTAACTAATTTTAATTTCCTACATTTTTATGTAGATTTCTGCTATTCTTGTCCTATTTTCCTAATCATCTTTCTATATGGATGACTACATAAGTCTGAGAATACCAAAAGAGACAGACACAGAACCAATCGGATTCCTTTCTTCTTGAAGCTTCTGCACAGCAAAAGAAACTATCAACAGAGTGAACAGACAACCTACAGAATGGGAGAAAATTTTTGCAACAATGCACGTGACAAAGATCTAATGTCCAACACTGATAAGGAACTTAAACAAATTTACAAGAAAAGACAAATCTCATTAGAAAGTGGGCAAAGGACATAAACAGACACTTCAAAAGAAGACACACATGCGGCCAACCAGCATATGAAAAAAAGCTCAATATCACTGATCATTAGAGAAATGCAAATCAAAACCACAATGGTATACCATCTCACACCAGTCAGAATGGTTATTATTAAAAAGTCAACACCGGGCATGGTGGCTCACGCCTATAATCCCAGCACTTTAGGAGGCCAAGGCAGGCAGGTCACATGAGGTCAGGAGTTCCAGACCAGCCTGGACAACCTGGCGAAACCCCGTCTCTACTAAAAATACAAAAATTAGCCCAGCGTGGTGGCGGGCACCTGTAATCCCAGCTACTCAGGATGCTGAGGCAGGAGAATTGCTTGAACCCGGGAGGCAGAGGTTGTAGTGAGCCGAGATCATGCCACTGCACTCTCCAGCTTAGGTGACAGAGCGAGACTCTGTCTCAAAAAAAAAAAAATTATATTTGAATTTTGTTTAAATCGCTAACACATACTGGGCATTTAATAACAAAAAAAAGGACATGAGATTGTGATCCTTATGAGGGTTTGAGAGGCATTTCACTAGGGTTCAACATAGAGCAGTCTGAAACATACTGTAATAATTTAATCCAATGGCTCATCTACAGCACCTAAAAAGATTACAGCAGATTCTCATTATTCAGTGTAGTTACGGTCTAGAAAGTTCCATGAACAAATAAAAAGTTAGGTTTCAGCAAGCTACTGGTCATATTTTTGTAAGCTTACCAACACCTACTTTTGTTGTATGTGTGCTTATTTAATATATATTGTTGGCCAGGCACAGTGGCTAACGCCTGTAATCCCAGCACTTTGGGAAGCCAAGGCGGGCAGATCATTTGAGGTCTGGAGTTCGAGACCAGCCTGGCCAACGTGGTGAAACCCTGTCTCTACTAAAAATACAAAAAATTAGCCAGGCGTGAAATCCAAATAAAGTTTGGAGATTAATTAATAGTAACTGACTAATGTTAGTTTCTTAATTGTGACAAATGGACCATAAGATGTTAATCATAAGAAAAACTGGCCGGGCGCGGTGGCTCACGACGGTAATCCCAGCACTTTGGGAGGCCGAGGCGGGTGGATCTTGAGGTCAGGAGATCGAGACCATTCTGGCTAACAAGGTGAAACCCCGTCTCTACTAAAAATACAAAAAATTAGCTGGGCGCGGTGGCGGGCGCCTGTAGTCCCAGCTACTCGGGAGGCTGAGGCAGGAGAATGGCGTGAACCCGGGAAGCGGAGCTTGCAGTGAGCCGAGATTGCGCCATTGCAGTCCGCAGTCCGGCCTGGGCGACAGAGCGAGACTCCGTCTCAAAAAAAAAAAAAAAAAAAAAAAAAAGAAAAACTGGGTGAAGTGTATGCATAAACTCTGTACTATCTTTGTAGCTTATCTATAAATTTAAAAATATTCTGAAATTTAAAAGTTTACTAAATATTTTGAAATTGAAATAGAAATATCAAAGTGACCTTGTAATTTAAACATAGACACATATATGCATGAATACATACGCATCTATATTTTCTACCTCTTTCCATCAAAAGGTCAAAAGCAATGACATCCCAATATCAATGAGCATGCCTAGCAACCAGATTTGGTCTCTAAATACCATTCCCACAAAAAGAAAGACGGGCTACTCGGCGAAGTACTGATTCCAGGACTTGGAAAGGAATGTAACAGGAAGCCTACATCATATTGTGCCAGAAACCAAGAAAGTTTTAAAGACTAATAAGGTCATGTCAAAATTATACAGCAATCAAGGACTCCTACTAGACAAATCTAGGACAATTTAAACATCAAAAAGAATAATGACTGCAATTGACTGAAACATGAAAATTTAAAAATCGTAAAGACTGATACTCAAAAAAGAAAAAGAAATCATCACCAATAACAGAAACAACTCATTTATCACCACCAGCCCTTAAGCTAAAAATGGGCAATTAAAGAAAGATAACTAAGCTTTTATCCTGCCTCTTCAGTAGTAACTATATTTCAGGGTAACCAAATAACATCAGTTAATGAGGAAAAGTTTTTCTTTTTTTCTTTTTTAATTATACTTTAAGTTCTAGGGTACATGTGCACAACGTGCAGGTTTGTTACATATGTGTATACCTGTGCCATGTTGGTGTGCTGCACCCATTAACTCGTCATTTACATTAGGTATATCTCCTAATGCTATCCCTCCCCCCTCCCCCCACCCCACGACAGGCCCCGGTGTGTCATGTTCCACTTCCTGTGACCATGTGATCTCATTGTTCAATTCCCACCTATGAGTGAGAACATGCGGTGTTTGGTTTTCTGTTGTTGCGATAGTTTGCTGATAATGATGGTTTTCAGCTTCATCCATGTCCCTACAAACGACATGAACTCATCGTTTTTTATGGCTGCATAGTATTCCATGGTGTATATGTGCCACATTTTCTTAATCCAGTCTATCATTGATGGACATTTTGGTTGGTTCCAAGTCCTTGTTATTGCAAATAGTGCCACAATAAACATATGTGTGCATGTGTCTTTATAGCAGCATGATTTATAATCCTTTGGGTATATAACCAGTAATGGGATGGCTGGATCAAATGGTATTTCTAGTTCTAGATCCTTGAAGAATCGCCACACTGACTTCCACAATGGTTGAACTAGTTTACAGTCCCACCAACAGTGTAAAAGTGTTCCTATTTCTCCACATCCTCTCCAGCACTTGTTGTTTCCTGACTTTTTAATGATCTTCATTCTAACTGGTGTGAGATGGTATCTCATTGTGGTTTTGATTTGCATTTCTCTGATGGCCAGTGATGATGAGCATTTTTTCATGTGTCTGTTGGCTGCATAAATGTCTTCTTTTGAGGAGCGTCTGTTCATATCCTTCACCCACTTTTTCATGGGGTTTTTTTTCTTGTAAATTTGTTTGAGTTCTTTGTAGGTTTTGGATATTAGCCCTTTGTCAGATGGGTAGGTTGCAAAAATTTCCTCCCATTCTGTAGGTTGCCTGTTCACTCTGATGATAGTTTCTTTTGCTGTGCTGAAGCTCTTGAGTTTAATTAGATCCCATTTGTCAATTTTGGCTTTTGTTGCCATTGCTTTTGGTGTTTTAGACATGAAGTCCTCGCCCGTGCCTATGTCCTGAATGGTATTGCTTAGGTTTTCTTCTAGGGTTTTTATGGTTTTAGGTCTAACATTTAAATCTTTGATCCCTCTTGAATTAATTTTTGTATAAGGTATAAGAAAAGGATCCGGTTTCAGCTTTCTACATATGGCTAGCCAGTTTTCCCAGCATCATTTATTAAATAGGGAATCCTTTCCCCATTTCTTGTTTTTGTCAGGTTTGTCAAAGATCAGATGGTTGTAGATGTGTGGTATTATTTCTGAGGCCTCTATTCTGTTCCATTGGTCTATATCTCTGTTTTGGTACCAGTACCACGCTGTTTTGGTTACCGTAGCCTTGTAGTATAGTTTGAAGTCAGGTAGCGTGATGCCTCCAGCTTTGTTCTTTTGGCTTAGGATCGTCTTGGTGATGTGGGCTCTTTTTTGGTTCCATATGAACTTTAAAGTAGTTTTTTCCAATTCTGTGAAGAAAGTCATTGGTAGTTTGATGGGGATGGCATTGAATCTATAAACTACCTTGGGCAGTATGGCCATTTTCATGATATTGATTCTTCCTATCCATGAGCATGGAATGTTCTTCCATTTCTTTGTGTCCTTTTTCATTTCGTTGAGCAGTGGTTTGTAGTTCTCCTTGAAGAGGTCCTTCACATACCTTGTAAGTTGCATTCCTAGGTATTTTATTCTCTTTGTAGCAACTGTGAATGGGAGTTCACTCATGATTTGGCTCTCTGTTTGTCTGTTATTGGTGTATAAGAATGCTTGTGATTTTTGCACAATGATTTTGTATCCTGAGACTTTGCTGAAGTTGCTTATCAGCTTAAAGAGTTTTGGGGCTGAGACAATGGGGTCTTCTAAATATACAATCATGTCATCTGCAAACAGGGACAATTTGAATTCCTCTTTTTCTAATTGAATATCCTCTATTTCTTTCTTCTGCCTGATTGCCTGGCCAGAACTTCCAACACTATGTTGAATAGGAGTGGTGAGAGAGGGCATCCCTGTCTTGTGCCAGTTTTCAAAGGGAATGCTTCCAGTTATTGCCCATTCAGTATGATATTGGCTGTGGGTTTCTCATAAATAGCTCTTATTATTTTGAGATACGTCCCATCAATACCTAATTTATTGAGAGTTTTTAGCATGAAGGGCTGTTGAATTTTGTCAAAGGCCTTTTCTGCATCTACTGAGATAATCAAGTGGTTTTTGTCTTTGGTTCTGTTTATATGCTGGATTACATTTACTGATTTGCGTATGTTGAGCCAGCCTTGCATCCCAGGGATGAACCCCACTTGATCATGGTGGATAAACTTTTTGATGTGCTGCTGCATTTGGTTTGCCAGTATTTTATTGAGGATTTTGGCAGAGACACACAAAAAAAGAGAATTTTAGACCAATATCCCTAATGAACATCGATGGAAAAGTTTTTCTTTAAGAAGATGCCAGGAAATAAAGGCAGATGAAATAACAGAATAGGAAAATCACCAATTTGTAGCCCTCGGTGACATAACCGATTCAGGAAGAAATCATCAATGGACACTAAGCTCATTAAGTGAAAGAATGATGAGTATCTGGATAGTTACATAGTACCAAACTATCTCTCTACGAAGTTCTTGCCTATCTCAAGTATAAAATATTAACTTTACAATGAAGGAATCAGACGTCACTACCTTAATCCAGGGATTTACCTTAATTTCTAGTCACTAACAGTGAAACAACTAGACAATACTTGCCATCTGAAGTAATACAATATAATTCTGATAAAGCCTTTGATATTCCACAGGAAATATTGGAGAGGAGATAAAGAAACAAGTTAAGTCAGGAGTCCCCAAAGCCCAGGCCATGGACTGGTATCAGTCTATGGCCTGTTAGGAACCAGGTGCACAGCAGATGTTGGGAGAGTGAGCAAGCATTATCACCTGAGCTCCGGCTCCTGTCAGATCAACAATGGCATTCAATTCTCGTAGGAGTACGAACCCTACTGTGAAATGCACATGCGAGGGATCTCTAGGTTGCACAATCCATATTAGAATCTAATGCCTGATGATCTGAGATAGAACAGTTTCATCCGGAAACCATCCCACCACCCCGACCTCCACGCTACCCCTAGTCCATGGAAAAATTGTCTTCCACAAAACCAGGCACTGGTTCAAAAAAGATTGGGGACCGCTGAGTTAAACGATACCATAAGAAAGCAATATGCCAAAAGATCAGATATGGTCAAAAACAGAAAAGAGAGTGGCTTATGGGCCAGGCGCGGTGGCTCATGCCTGTAATCCCAGCACTTTGGGAAGACGAGGCAGGTGGATTACTTGAGATCAGGAGTTTGAGACCACCCTGGACTACATGGTGAAACCCCATCTCTACCAAAAAAATACAAAAATTATCCAGGCATGGTGGTGCACACCCATATAGTCCCAGCTATTTGAGAGGCTGAGGTGGGAGGATGTCTTGAGCCCAGGAAGCAGAGGTTGCAGTGAGCCAAGATCTCGCCACTGCACTCCAGCCTGGGCAACAGAGCCAGAGCCTGTCTCAAAAAAAAAAAAAAAAAAAAAAAAAAAAAGAGAAAGGCTGGCTCATTGTAGCAACATGGAAGGCCCTTTCTAACATAATGCTAGCCGACCATACCTAAACAGTACAAAATGGACTGGTACCTGGTTAATGGCTTACCATATGTTAATTTCTCATTTCTCGGGATTAATTGGAATGTTTTAAAACAAACTATTTTTTTGTTTTTTTAATTTTTTTGTTTTGAGATGGAGTCTTGCTCTGTCGCCCAGGATGGAGTGCAGTGGCGCAATCTTGGCTCACTGCAGCCTCCGCCTCCCGGGTTCAAGCGATTCTCCTGCCTCAGCCTCCGAAGTAGCTGGGATTACAGGCATGAGCCACCATGCCTGGCTTGTTTTTATATTTTTAGTAGAGATGGAGTTTCACCATGTTAGACAGGCTGGTCTTGAACTCCTGACCTCAGGTGATCCGCCCACCTTGGCCTCCCAAAGTGCTAGGATTACAGGCATGAGCCACTGTGCCCAGCCTTTTGCAATGTTTTTTGAGACGGAGTCTCTCTCTGTTGCTGGGCTGGAGTGCAGTGGCACAATCTCAGCTCACTGCAACCTCCACCTCTCAGGCTAAAGCAATTCTCCTGCCTCAGCCTCCCGAGTAGCTGGATTACAGTCATGCGCCACCACGCCCAGCTAATTTTTGTAATTTTAGTAGAGACGGGCTTTTGCCATGTTGTCCATTCTGGTCTCAAACTCCAGGCCTCAGGTGATCCGCCTGCCTCGGCTTTCTAAAGTTCTGGAATTACAAGTGTGAGCCACCGCGCCCAGCCTAAAATATAAGTTTATGAAACAAAAGAAATGTAAGGCTCATTTTACTTCATTTAAATTATGAAGGCAGTATACAGTCATATAAACATAATGTATTTTGATACAAATCCTTGTAGATGGGATTCCAAAGCCAATAGCACTGTCTTCCAATGTGAAGATACTAAGTCAAATATGAAGATATTAAGTAAGTGAATGCATACCACTCACAGGGCTGAAGGGATTGAAATGCCTTAAAAGAAGCATCCATTCCAGCAAAATCCCAAAACTTAACATCAGAGTCATATCCTCCTGTCACCAAACGGGCACCTGAGGGATCCAGACCCAAAGCAGACACCTGGTTTTAAAAAAATAAAATAAAATGACTGGAGCAAAATGACATATGGTCAATTATAACCCCCATTTCTGTTCTTTAATCCCACCCCCTATGTTATAGGCCTTGGAAGCACAAACCACCAACTATTGTTACTTCTGAAAAGCGGGAATGGATGGTGCCTTCTATATTCTTAGACTTTGTTACTATATTAATTCTTTTGCAATAAAGAAAAATACTTTAAATCTATTTGACAATTTTGTCCCAAATCATCAACTATGTACTCAGAATAGCTATCACTGCAATTCCGTAAGATAAACTAAGTTGCTTTAGTGTACAAGTAAAAATCTTACAAATAATTACAATAATTCAGCATTTTCAATATACAATCTAAGGAAAACTTTTAAGATAGTTTAATCATAACTGAATGAAAACCATATGAATCTGAAATTACCAAAATGAGTAACACCAAGGGAGCTTTAAGAAATCTATTTAACAAAGTAGAACAAAGCAGAATTATCTGTCCCTTATGGTCAAATGGCTCGCTATATTCACCTTAAACAATTATTTTTAAAGCTGAATTTTTAAGTGACTAATCACATAATAATAGTACTTATATTGGCTCCATAAAATATTTGCTTTCGGCTGGGCACGGTGGCTTATGCCTGTAATCCCAGCACTTTGGGAGGCCAAGGCAGGGAGATCACTTGAGGTCAGGAGTTTGAGACCAGCCCGGCCAACATGGAGAAACCCCATCTTTACTAAAAATACAAAAATTAACTGAGCGTGGAGGCATGCACCTGTAGTGCTGAGGCACAAAAATCGCTTGAACTTGGGAGGCGGAGGTTGCAGTGAGCCAAGATCGTGCCACTGCATTCCACCCTGGGTGACAGAGCGAGACTCTGTCTTAAAAAAAAAAAAATTTGCAGGCCAGGCACCCTAGCTCATGCCTGTAATCCCAGCGCTTTGGGAGGCTAAGGCGGGCGGATCACCTGAGGTTGGGAGTTCGAGATCAGCCTGACCAACATGGAGAAACCCCATCTCTACTAAAAATACAAAATTAGCCAGGCATGGTGGCGCATGCCTGTAATCCCAGCTATTTGAGAGGCTGAGGCAGGAGAATTGCTTGAACTCGGGAGGCAGAGGTTGCAATGAGCTGAGATGGCGGCTCTGCACTCCAACTGGGCAACAAGGCGAAACCCTGTCTCAAAAAAAAAAAAAAAAAAAAAACAATTGCTTTCCCTGTGAACTTTCCTAGGTCCAATTCACACGTCAATATCCAATGTGTAACTCCTTGTTCCTAAGATATATGTAGCTTTCTCTCGAAGCAGAAAGTGCCTAGATCTACTGCCCTCTAAGAAGAAAAGAACTGCAGTAGGAATATTTAATGCAATTACCATACATTGGACACAGTAAAAGAATCAAAGGTTTTTTTTGTTTTGTTTTCTTTGAGACAGAGTCTCACTCTGTCATCCAGGCTGGAGTGCAGTGGTGCAATCTCGGCTCACTGCAACTTCTGCCTGCTGGGATCAAGCGATTCTCCTGCCTCAGCCTCCTAAGTAGCTGGGATGACAGGCACGTAGCACCACGCCCAGCTAATTTTTGTATTTTTTAGTAGAGAAGGGGTTTCACTTGTTGACCAGGCTGGTCTCAAACTCCTCATCTCGGGTGATTTGCCTGCCTCAGACTCGCAAAGCTGGGATTAGAAGTGTGAGCCACGGCGCCTGGCCAGAGTCAACGTTTTACATAAAGGAAGTTTCTATAAATCAATTCTCCTAATAAATAGACTTGAAATGTAATTAATATAATTAAATAAGTCAGATACTGACAAAATAACGTATTCATTTCAATTAGCACTTGCAAATACCGATTTCATAATATAAGGGAATCATACATAAATAATAATACTTATATTAAAATTAGACGTGAACTCTAAAGATGTCAAGGAAAATATACAAGTGAAAACAAAGTCATTTTTTATGCCCGAACAATAATGTCTTAAAAAACAATCAAAAACAAAAATAAATGAACAGTAGTTTTAAAAATCTGGAAGTGGCTTCTGCTACCACCACCTACAAACTCACTTGCCTCTACATTCATTACGCTATCCTTCTTCCCTCCTGTTACAATTTAAAAGTTATTTCTCCTCCTAATAAGGCTAACCCCACCAGTGTTCATCTCACTACAACACAATATAAAATTACAACTTCATCTGTGGTTCCTCTATTCTGTACCTATCCTTCCCTCAAGAGTATTAGCACCATATGGACAGAGACCTTGTCTGTGCCCAGCACTGAACCTGGCACAAAATACAAACTCTACTAAATATGTGTTTAAAAGAAAGGAGAACTAAAAATTGTAAAATCTTATGTAAAACAAACATGCAGTCTGACAAATATGAGATAAATTCCTTTCTATCAAGGAAGAACAGAATAAATTGCAAACTTGACTGTTCTCCTAACTAAGAAGAAAGATGACAAATTAAAAAGCAAAATTACAAAATGAGGCTTTCAGTGCTACCATTCACTGAAGTATCAGGATCTCTGCTGCTGACTGTATATATGATTCGTCATTTACCAAAAGGATATGAAGGAGGTAATTAGAAAGATAGAAAACAGAGCTCAGAGGCTGGGCGCAGTGGCTCACGCCTATAATCCCAACACTTTGGGAGGCTGAGGTAGGCGGATCACCTGAGGTCAGGAGTTCAAGACCAGCCTGGCCAACATGGCAAAAACCCATCTCTACTAAAAATACAAAAATTACCCGGTGTTGTGGCGAGTGCCAGTAATCCCAGCTACTCGGGAGGCTGAGGCAGGAGAATCACTTACCCCTGGGAGGTGGAGGCTGCAGTGAGCCGAGATGGCACCACTGCACTCCAGCCTGAGTGACAGAGCAAGACTTTGTCTCAAAAAGAAAACTGTCTTGTTCCAACTTGGGAATGAGCACAAATTTTCAGTTTTAACATTTATATTAAAAGAACTAATGTGTATCACCCTCTCTCCTTTCAAAAAGCTTTAGACTTTATCATCACATTCAGTGGGAAGGGTTCAGTTGACTATTATGCCATAGTAAGTATATTCACTAAATATTCACTAAAAGGAGAAAAAGAGCACAAAATCTTATAAACTTAGAGATATAAAAAATAAACATAATGATAACTCTCCTAAGAGTACATCAGACATCATTAAGAGACTGATTTGAACAAACTGACTCAGAGTCACAAGACTTGAGTGAGTCTCGTGTTCATTTTACTGAAGTGCTCTTAGAAGGTTTGTGCTATTGAACTGTCTTTCAGGCTCCCACAGTATGTAGCTATATAATCTCTCCCAGTGGCTGATTTCTTTTAAAACTCTATATTGTAGACATGAAAGTCTTACTTTTATTTGAAGTATAATTTACTCAACTAATTTAAACTCATGCAAATATTAAACATCTCAAACTTATTCATAATGGCATTTATGGTATTTGACAGTGTAAGGTTTGTGTGTGTGGTTTAGCCGTTCACATTAGTTTCAGATACATTCGGTTTCTCAAAGAGGCAGCAGAATATCTTTTGCTTAATATAGACTCATTTGGAAGAGAAATCTTCAGACTTTATTTTTGGATATCATAATGAATGCTGCTGATAAAGCCATATGAAATCATAGATGTGTACATGACTAGAATTTTCCTTTTCTGATTTTTTATAACTTTCAAATATTGCTTCTGGGTGTACTTTTAAATTAAATCAAAATAAATGCATAAGAGAAAAAATCCTTCACATAATATCCTGTCAGTAAAATTAGTAAAACCTGGAAAGCAATTTCTATTTTAGTATGTGGATAAGGAGATAAGATTCAATATCTGTTCATTTTCACTATGGCAAGAAAAAAAGTGTAATTTTCAGTACTCTTGCTAACTTCTATTATCCACATGGGAGCTGTTATTATCTGCATAATGTACTGAGGCATTTGCTATCAAGCTTACTGTTCAAATTAGTCTCCCTTGGTTTCAAGTCACTTTCACTTGAAACGATAAAATTAAATTAGCAGTCTTACCCAGGTCAGTGTGAAGTTTCTCCTGATGAATTTTCCAAGATATTGTTGCTCTGTTATAGTTTTCATATCATAACTTTGGGTGCAATTGAAACAGATATTTTTCCCCCATTTGTAGGGATTTTTTAATAAATGAGGGCAATATATAATTTCGTTTAATTCAATTTCTTTCATTTTGCTACTGTGCAGCAGCTTCAAATAGCAATAAAATGAACATTTTAAGGCATATCTTAGACTTTTATTTTGGTGTTTTAAAGTGCAATGAGGTTTATATTAAAATTAAAACACTGATATGATAAAATAACACTGGATCCCAATTGTAATAAAAATTGCATTTTCTCTTTTAAATATGAAGTAAAGTTACTCTGAAATTATGTTTAAGAAAGAACTAAAGCCACTTTTTTTCTTGCTATAGTTTTCCCTTTTTATATATTATTGCATTTCTTTTGTTTCTCCTTGGCATGCATTTATCAAATATAATCAGAGGAGGTTTTGTTTGTTTGTTTGTGGTCTCAGAGTGTAGGGATTTCAAAGAATGTTCTAACAAATGAAAATAACTAGAGCAGACACATAAATAGTATCATTTACATTCAAATTGTATTGAATTTTGTCACTGCTGGGGGACGGATAAAATGTGGAAGTGACAAAGATTCAAACATTCTGAACAATTGAGGTAGCTGTATTTTGCCCTGATTGTTTGAAACTAGAGATAATTTTTTCTTACCCTCAGGCTGTTTTTATAAGGAATTCCCCTCAGTTACTCAAATACACCTCTTCCTTCATACTCAGTGCATTTTTTCCTCGTGTTCTCTCTGCTTGGAAAACACTCGCCCTATTCATTGCTTGATTAACTTTTTTTCTCCTTCCAACCATAGTTTCATCACTTCTGCAAGTGCTTCTCTGACATCCTTAGACTAAGTTGAGTACACATCTTTTGCATTCCTGCAGCACCTTGCTCTCACCTCTGATTATTAATTGTATCTTGGCTAGCTCATCTTTAAGGTATGAACTGCCTCATTCATTTGTATTTTTCCAGAGTTTTACATTTGTTCAATAGAGTGGAAATGTAATACTATTTGTTGAAAGACTGATTGACTAAGAAAATGAATAATTCAGTGATAGGTTAGGTAAATTGTTTAGGGAAGTAAAAGTAAATGACAACAACAAAGAAGCTAAACATGAAAAATCACTTAAGGTGAAATAAAGCTTTTCATAATAAATTCTGTTCCATCTTTCCTTACAATGTATATGTATTTCTGACTTAGATATCACATCCGGCACTCTCTCTCACTCTGTGTGTGTGTGTGTGTGTGTGTGTGTGTGTGTGTGTGTGTGTGTGTGTACTATGAGATGGAGACAGAGAGAAGGAAGAGAGGAAAGAGAGGGAGAGACTGAATGTCTTTAGACAAGCATCCTCTTTTCAGTTTCAATTCTCTACCATTCTCTAATTCAACAAATCATCTGACCACTTCACATCTTTATGTTACCTGACTTACCCCAGAAAGCAAGCATTTGAATTTGAAGCCTTTTCTTCTAACTACTTGGAACTAATAATGGTCTATTAGGAAAGGGAAATTAAAAAGAAATATTTGCTTTACCCCGGCAATTTTTTTAGCACAAGGATTGGCCATTATATTATTTTGAAAATTCTGATCTTCTAGTACATTTACTTCTCCTTTTTTTAAATTAGTTACTCACTTTAAATATAAACTTTTCAGAAAAACAACCACATCTACACAATCCCTATAAAAATTTTAAAATCAAAAATTTCTGAAGATAAACAGTCTGTCATTGATCTGACTACAAAACCTGACTAGAACTCATGTAAATTTAATGTTGGTATTTATTTATTCCACTTAGAGTATTTATACATTTTGCAGCAGAAATATGAATGTAGTTGACTATGAGTTGTTGTGAATATTTAAAATATGTTCCAATTTCCTTCCTAAAATAAACATAAAAGTAATTTAAATTCTGAAACTCATCTGGTCCCAAGAATTTTAAATAAGGTAGTACAGAAACATAAAAAATAAATATAAGATCATTTCAAATGTAAATATAGGTAGACTTGGAATAAATAAAAAAGAAAGTTCGAATGCAGATGCACAGATTCTACAGTTTTATATCATTACAAAGTTGATTCAAACTGTACTTTAGCTGGTGCAGTGACTCTCGGTATAATCCCAGCACCTTGGGAGACTGAGGTGGGAGTATGACTTGAGCCCAGGAGTTCAAGACCGACCTGGGCAACATAGTGAGACTCTCTCTCTCCCCCAAAATTTTTAAAAATTAGCCTTGCATGATTGCATGCACCTCTAGTCCCAGCTCCTCTGGAGGCTGAGACAGGATGATCCCTTGGCCAAGGAGGTGGAGGATGCAGTGAAATCTGATCACTCCACTGCACTCCGGCCTGTGCGACAGGGCAAGACCCCTGTCACCAAAAAATAAATAAATAAATAAAAATGTAGTTTAATTTTCTCAACAGCTAAACCAAAGGATTAGAAAAAAATTACTTTGTTCCACTACAAGTCAAAGAAAAATGATGTTAGAGTGCAATGAAAAAAATCAAACAATAATTCATAATTCATCATATCTCTCTCAATTCTGATGCTATTTTGCCTGATAACTTGACATTTTTTTATACATTTCTGAATAGAAAGTTTCTCCACTTATACGATATAGTAATTGCACTTAAAATTTCTTGAGTATCTTCCAGTTTTATAGTATCACCAATTGGGTCACAACGTAAAAAAATAATAAATAATAGTTAATATAATCACCTCAAATATAATTGTAGTTAGCATAGTTATTTAGACCATTAACTTATTACCAGCAAAATGTAGTTATCAATAACTCTGACAAAAAAGTAAAAATAATAAGCATTAGCAAGAAAATTGGTAGCTTATTGAGAAAAAAAAAATTTTTCCTCTAGGTGATGGGCCTTTGTGCAGACTACATATACTGGCTCCAAAAAGAAGTAAAAAGTAACACCTCCCACAGCTGGCATGGAAAGGATGCTTTGTTTAGTGATATTACACAGACATTCAATTTTTTCTCCTATGAGAAAGCTATTTTTAACTTCAATCTAAGTATGAACATGATTAATATATCTGGTTACTATAATTTCTTTTCCAGGATAGAAATTCCCATAATTAGGCATTTTAAACAACTCATTGATCAAGTTGTGTTTAATAATATAATCAGCTAGACTGTTTATTTTTATGTCTTAAAATATATTACTATAATATTTAAGTTTAAAGATATCCATAATTATGCCACCTTAATCTAATGAGTTAACTTTTTATTCTGCTTTTCATACATACTATTTGACATACAATCATTTTTAATATTGTCTAGATACTGGAGAGAATTATGAAAGATAAAGATTTAATACTGTAAATAAAACATTTTATCTAGAGAAGCAGTTCCTGGAGACACACTTGACAAATAATGACATCTTGCCCAACATATCTTAGGGGTAATACTTGCAGTGACTAGTTAAGGAGAGTGGTGAGTTGCCCATAGCATATGAAACCCTCTGTACATATTTTCATTTTTCATACTATGTTTAAAGTTATTGCTCAAGTATTCTAAACCTATATGACTAGAAATTGAGACTTTCAAAGCAAAGTAAGCTTTTTTTTTTTTAAAAAAAATAAGAATTCTTGCCTTCAGTCTTTTTTGGTTTGAATCATGTGTATTTCACATTAGGCAATTATTTTATATCCAAACAGGGCTTACTTTCTTTGTATCAGTTTGAATCTTATCATCCTGAATTCAGAGAAGTGTGACATTGTAAGGCATTTTTTTAAAGAGATTTTTGAAAAATTTTATGCTAACTCAAAAGATCTACCACAGTCTTCAGGCTATATACAGGAAAACTTGACATAATTTAAGTTTAAAATTAGCAGATATATGAATATACACAAATGTATTTAGTTGTACAAAGTAAAAGTTAATTTTAAAGGCCAGAAAAAACGGTGCAGTCATTAAACAATTATTAATTTTATATTAAAATTACATAATCTATCATATTAGTGCATAAAATTATTTTTTACAACTGACTGACAAGATGTGTGCTATACAATCTACAACATGTGTAGTGTCATTAAACTGTTACACTCAGGAAGGCCTGAAAATTTAATAGGAATTTATTACAAAATAAGTTTTCTCAGAGTGCTAAAATATCTTAACCATGTTTAAAAATACACTTCAATGAAGAAAATATAATGGGTTTATATACATCTCCCAATCAAATAAAAAACAGAACTATAAACATTTAGGCCAATTTCAACTGAAAATGATGAGTGCAGCTTTTTGCACAATGAATGAATTTTTAAAATTCCATCAATTGAACTTTTTCCTCAGCAAGCATATCAGAAAATGATTCAGTTCAGACTTGTCTGTTACTGTATTAATTTTAAAAGTCTCTTATCTTGCTTTTGCAACCTCCCTTCTAAGCCACTATCTTTCTGAAAGGCACTGAACTTTAACAGAGAAAAGGTGCTTTCTATGCAGAAGATGAAAAATGCCTACAGCAGCAAAAAGTAAGCCAAATAGATATGAAGCCAACAAAGTGCCTCAATGGGATGGAGTAGAGCAGGAACACAGCTCTTCGTGAATCCATAATATCAAATCCTATCTTAAAGCAGTGCACTTGTTCTATATACACTGTTCTAATGGTATAAATACCCTGAGAGTAGAATGATACAGTTCATGCATATTAAAGAAACACTGCAATGAATAACACTAGAATATGTTTTCCTACATCTGTGTCACTCATTCTGGATAAGTATTTAATAGCCAAGATATTTTGAAGTTTACAAGTTGTTCACAGTGTGAACTCCAAAACATGGATAGAAACTAGTAGTTTTTACTCTGATTACAAATACAGTGCATTCTCTATAGATAATTTGAAAAATAAAAATCAACCGAAATTATATCACCTCAAGATAACACCTGTTAGTATTTTCTCCCTGTAATCATTCTATCCAATTTAATTTATATTTATATAATCCATTTTGACTTATGAAATTTTAAAGTCATATAATTATACTTATTTAAAATACATTTATATTTTTATTTAAAATGGCAATATTTGACTGTTTTGACTAAAAAAAAGGGTAATGACTTACAATTCAATTTTATTGAATACACAGTTTTATCCTGCTTTCTCCTCTAATATTATATTGTCATCATTTAAACATGTCTTGATTTTTGTTCGTTGCCTAAAATTTCTTTCCACAGTTGTTACTATATTTTTGTATAATAACTTCCTAACTTTTTGACAGTTTGGTTAATTAAAACTTATTATTTTAAACTGCTATGAACAGCTCTGTTCAGAGTTCTTCATACAAGTCTCTAGATAGTTGCTTAGGACAGATTGTTACAATTACCAGACATTAAATCTTTAAGTGTCTTGATCCATATAGCCAAATTTGTTTTCATAATAATAATATCAATGTACACTGCCACGGACAGCACACGGTCATCCATCTAATTGCTCTCAACAATAGCAATATACTCTCTAACTATTGCTTACATAGTAGGTGAAAAGAGTTTTTGAATGTGATTAAATAGTGGGGTGCCTACACTATTGTTAAAGCATAATAAGATTAGAATGTCTAGCTCAACTTCTGAGTTTATTTCCTGTTCTACTAAAAACCCAACAGAATGACATTAAAGAAACTTGAGGGGAAAAAGGATAAGCCAGAAGCACAAGGAAAATGGGAAGAAAATTCTTGCCATGCTATCACCAGGCAAGAGAGTCAACACATTTCTCAAAGATGAAAAACTAAGGAAATAGTGTTAATTGTGATGGATATGCCCCACAAAATGGAGCTAAAGCAATGGGTTCAGTTATTTAGCTTAGCTTATACCCCAAGACACAGGAATACAATTAATGTACATTCAATGGAGGGCAGGAAGGAGAAGGGCAGGTATTAATTAAAAGGTTACATTGAAAAAGTCGAACTTCTCTACATATCTTCCCTGCCCTTTCTACAAAATGATCACTACACAGAAATTAGATAATCACAACTAAATACAATGTTTAAAAATCAGGGACAATTTACCTGGTGTGGTGTACAGTGTGAAGAGAAGAAATCTTTGGTCCAATCTAATAAGAGGTCTGGTATTTTAAATTAAAGTTTGGAGAACATAATTCTAAAAGATCCTTGACTATTTCTTAAAGTAGAACTTAAAACTAGGTGTGCTTGACCCATACCCTCAGAGCTCCTAAGAATTTATTTTGTTTTATTCTTAAATATGAGAGGGAAACCAAGGGTTATCCAAATTGTTTCAGAAATTGCAGGAGGAAAGAGAAAAATTCTAGATAATAAAATACACAATTTGATGTTAGAGTAGAGGTAATCCAAATATTTAGAACTAAATTTAATTTAGTAGCCTCAGATAAATGATAATATAAGAATAAGAGATACCATGAAATAGCAATGTTCAGAGAGGGAGAAATATCTCTTGGAAATTAAAAATATAACTGAAAAAAATAAAATGCAATAGAAAGATTAGAAACTAAAATGAAGAAAATACCCAAAAATGTAGAATAAAAGATAAGTCGAAAATATAAAGTACCTAATTGATTCCAAATGTCCAACAGTTTCAAAGGCAGAAAGCTTGATTATACAATCATTTACACCAATATGCTGGATTTAAGAGTGACAAGCTTCTTTAAACTGCCGTTCATGCTGAAGAAGATAATATATGTGAACACACTTGTCATGAAATTTCAGAACACTGTGGATAAAGTCAAGGATTCTGAAATTTCTGTAAAAAAAAAAGTAATGTGAATCAGGTTAACATCAAACTGATTGCTGGAAGAAAATATACTGAGGTTTTCAACTACAAATAAAAGATTTCAACTACAAATTTTGCCCAACAAAATTGTCAAGTGAAGTGCAGAATAAAGGCAACTTTGGATATAAAAACATCCAGAAATTTTACCCCTTGAATACCATATGCTAAGAAGTAACCTGAGGATTGCTTTGCAAAATATGAGATTATTCCAAGAAGACTGAAGCAAACAAAATTTGGACTCAGAAAAGTAAGGAAAGTACAATTAGAGAACAACATCTATGCAGAAGGCCTAAAGAAATCATTAGACTCAATGATGAGAACAGATGAAGAGGGTAACAGGGTAAGAGGGCCAGGTGGATATAAATGCTTTTGCATCTCTTGGATTCCGTAGATCAATAGATAAGCTTGAGACATTGACACAGTTTAGGCATGTCATAAAAAGGCAGATAAGAAAAATATAAGCAATAAGTACCTCCTGGTGATGGGATGATGGCAACTGTGACAAAATACATCTATATCTATCTATCTATCTATCTATCTATCTATCTATCTATCTATCTATCTATCCATCCATCCATCTATCTATCTATCTATATATATATGTGTCTATATATGTAGTAGCACATCCTTTGGCTCTGAATTGAACAATATTTACTTAGTCATTATAATGCAAGTCTTTTTTATTGTTATTATTATACTTAAAGTTTTAGGGTACATGTGCACAATGTGCAGGTTAGTTACATATGTATACATGTGCCATGCTGGTGCGCTGCACCCATTAACTCGTCACCTAGCATTAGGTATATCTCCCAATGCTATCCCTCCCCCCTCCCCCCACCCCACAACAGGCCCCAGAGTGTGATGTTCCCCTTCCTGTGTCCATGTGATCTCATTGTTCAATTCCCACCTATGAGTGAGAATATGCGGTGTTTGGTTTTTTGTTCTTGTGATAGTTTACTGAGAATGATGATTTCCAATTTCATCCATGTCCCTACAAAGGACATGAACTCATCATTTTTTATGGCTGCATAGTATTCCATGGTGTATATGTGCCACATTTTCTTAATCCAGTCTATCATTGTTGGACATTTGGGTTGGTTCCAAGTCTTTGCTATTGTGAATAATGCCGCAATAAACATAAGTGTGCATGTGTCTTTATAGCAGCATGATTTATAGTCCTTTGGGTATATACCCAGTAATGGGATGGCTGGGTCAAATGGTATTTCTAGTTCTAGATCCCTGAGGAATTGCCACCCTGACTTCCACAATGGTTGAACTAGTTTACAGTCCCATCAACAGTGTAAAAGTGTTCCAATTTCTCCACATCCTCTCCAGCACCTGTGGTTTCCTGACTTTTGAATGATCGCCATTCTAACTGGTGTGAGATGGTATCTCATTGTGGTTTTAATTTGCATTTCTCTGATGGCCAGTGATGGTGAGCATTTTTTCATGTGTTTTTTGGCTGCATAAATGTCTTCTTTTGAGAAGTGTCTGTTCATGTCCTTCACCCACTTTTTGATGCGGTTGTTTTTTTCTTGTAAATTTGTTTGAGTTCATTGTAGATTCTAGATATTAGCCCCTTGTCAGATGAGTAGGTTACAACTATCTGATCTTGACAAATCTGAGAAAAACAAGCAATGGGGAAAGGATTCCCTATTTAATAAATGGTGCCGGGAAAACTGGCTAGCCATATGTAGAAAGCTGAAACTGGATCCCTTCCTTACACCTTATACAAAAATCAATTCAAGATGGCTTAAAGACTTAAACGTTAGACCTAAAACCATAGAAACCCTAGAAGAAAACCTAGGCAATACCATTCAGGACATAGGCATGGGCAAGGACTTCATGTCTAAAGCACCAAAAGCAATGGCAACAAAAGCCAAAATTGACAAATGGGTTCTAATTAAACTCAAGAGCTTCTGCACAGCAAAAGAAACTACCATCAGAGTGAACAGGCAACCTACAAAATGGGAGAAAATGCAAGTCTTATTAATTAGTTTAAATGTATCTGACCCTAATTGGCTCTATGTGCATTTTGTTTGCAGCCCATTAACAAGAATAATATTGAAAAATGAAGACAGAGATAAAAATATCACAGTTAAACCAAATTATTAGGACCAAAGAAGAAACTTAGACAAATATATGAAAGAATTTTAAATAAAGAACCACATTTCAAATAAACCTGAGGACAGATAAAACTTAAAATATTTTGGCCTTAAATTTTTATATAAGTAATTTCAGCAGAAAAGGTTAAAAGTTTAGCCTTGTTTTACCAATGTTAATTTAAATATTTTTATTATGCATAGAAAGTTCAAACACCAAATGTAATTGAGTTATAAATGTTCAATAAGTAGCTTATTTGTCCTGTTTTTTTTCCTTAATATTATTTCCTCCACATTCCTTCTCAAAAATAGGATGTATATAGATGGTGAGAAATGAAGACAATATAATTACCTGTCCCTACATAAAAAATGAAACCATGCACATTTTTCTATTCCTAGTTAAACAATTCTGACACCAAACAAAAAATAACCTAGCAGTTGGCCCTAGGAAATTATTTCCTCACAGAAAATGAGTTTGCAACCCAAATAAATGATTCTACATGTCAAAACTAAGAACACTATCAAGACTCATTTTAAGACCATCGATTTGAGGAACCCACCAATCCAAAGCTATATCATAATTCTGTTTAATTTCAAGTTTCTTATCTTGTAAAATCCACCTAAAATACCAAAATAAAAGTCTTATTTCTTTTAATAACCCTTTCTCCTTTCAATGATTTGAAACACAAATAAGGCTCTGCTAAGTAGTTCATGTTCTCTCTTGCTGTGGTAAGTTTAATAAGCTTAATTTTTGTTGATTAACAAATTTTCCCAGTGATCTTGGTGTGGAGTGAAGATCTTTGAAAATTCCGGAGACTCCACCAAGATCCAGCAGAAACCACCTTGCCAAAAGGGCTCAAGATCATCACCTCTGAATCAGAGTCCTTAGTTTAGGTTCTTATTTAGAGTCTTCCTAGCTAAGAAGCAGGCCACCAGAATAGAGTCACCTCAGCTTTTCCTAAGGAGACCAACTATATTTGGAAGGCAGTGTAGAATTTTATGTCTAAGGGTATTGTCAAAAACACTGGAGATTTTGATTGTGAACAACTAAAAGGAGACAAAAGTAGGAGACCAGCTACAAGATTATGTTTATAAGAGAGAAACAGGGAAAGAAACAGCTAAGAAGGGCCCTCCTAAAGTATAAGGTCAGACTAAGCCTAAAATATCTACTCGTGCAAAGCGGCCCAACATTAATTGGATCAGACTGTTTTATAATACATGCCCCGTTGGTCAAAAACAATACAACAATCAGCTAGAATTTGGTGGAGGTCAACAATGGAGGCTGAGTGTCCGATCATGTGTTAGTCTGTTTTCACGCTGCTGATAAAAACATACCAGAGGCTGGGTAATTTATAAATTAAAAAAAGTTTAATGGACTCACAGTTCCACGTGGCTGGGAGGCCTCACAATCATGGCTGAAGGCGAAATGCACACCTTACGTGTCAGCAGACAAGAGAAGACAACTTGTGCAGGGAAACTCCCCTTTATAAAACCATCAGATCTCATGAGACTTATTCACTATCATGAGAACAGCACAGGAAAGACCTGCCCCCATGATTCAATTACCTCCCACTGGGTCCCTCCCACAACAGGTGGGAAATGTGGGAGCTACAATTCAAGATGAGATTGCGTTGGGAACACAGCCAAACCATATAAGATAATAAGAGGCAGATGAGCCAGTTAATCAACTGAGAAAGCAAAGGTCAAAGAGACATCCTGGCTAAATTACCAGTCCTCTCACTGGTAGTCAGGGACTTAATACAAACCCACGCTGCACAATATAAGGTATGACATCAGAAGCTGCATACTGTGGGGTAAATAAACTTCACCCAAATCCTCCATTCAAATCAGTAAACAAACAAGTAAACAACCAAACAATAACATGCTTTTGAAGGGATAAGTATCCAGAGTTGATACAATATATTGTCTAAAGTATCCAGTTTCCAGCACACAATTATGAAATATGTGTTATGGACAGAATGTTTGTGCCCTTCCAATATGATGGTATTAGGAGGTGGGGCCTTTGAGAGGTAGTTAGGTTATGAAGATGAAGCACATTCATTTCCTCTTATCAGAACACTGTAAGAGCTCATCCTTTTTCTCTTTGCCCTCAGCCATGTGAGTATACGAAGAGAATGTGCTCACCAACTACTGAATCTGCTGGCACCTTGATTTTGGTCATTCCAGCCTCCAGAACTGTGGTAAATTATTATTTATTGTTTTACCCACCCAATCCATGGTATTCTGTTACAGAAGAGCAAACTAAAACACCATGCAAAGAAGTGGGAAAATATGTCCCATACACAGAAAACTAAAAAGAAAAGTGGCCAATAGAAACATTTTGACAGGGCCGAGATACAGACCAAAATAAAAACAAAACTTCAAAGCATCTAATATAAATAGAAATGCTAATATTAAAAAATTAAAGAAAATCATGATTAAGTAAGGGATAGTATAACAGCAATGTCTCATTAAATTAGAGATATCAATAAAGAGATAAAACATTTTTAAAAACCAAATAGAAGTTCTGGAGGTGAAAATTAAAATGCTCAATATGGAAAATTTCTAAAGGGAATCCATAGTAGATATAGCCTTGTAGAAGAAAATGAAATCAACACCCTTGAAGACAGGTGGATAGAGAATGACAATCTCAGGACAAGGAAAAAAAATAAAGAAAAGTAAACAAAATCTCAGAGAAATAAGAGTATCAGTTAATGCAACAACATTCTAGAAGCACCAGAAGAGGAGAGAAAGACATATTGGAATAGGAAACATATTGGAATTTTTTTTTTTTTTGAGACAGTCTCGCTCTGTCGCCCAGGCTGGAGTGCCGTGGCGAAATCTCGGCTCACTGCAACCTCCGCCTCTGGGATTCAAGCAATTCTCCTTCCTTACCCTCCTGAGTAGCTGGGATTACAGGTGCACGCCACCAAGCCCAGCTAATTTTTCTATTTTTAGTAGAGACAGGGTTTCACCATGTTGGTCAGGCTGGTCTCAAACTCTTGACTTCATGATCCACCCAACTCGGCCTCTCAAAGTGCTGGGATTACAGGCATGAGCCACTGCACCCGGCCACATATTGGAAAAATTAATGGCAGAAAACTTTCCAAATGTGATGGAAAACGATCTGTATATCCTAAAATTTAATGAACTCCAAGTAGGATAAATACAAATAATCTACGCACAGATATATCATGATCAGAACGTTAAAACCCAAAGACAAAGATAACATTTTGAAAGGACAAAGTGAAACAGCTAACATTTCCTTCATTAAAAACTTACTAAAAATCTCTTGTAATAAAGACAGAGTGGTACTGGATGAAGGGTAGACATATCAATTAATTAACCGTATTAAGAGTTCAGAAATAAAGTCATACATTTGTGGTCAAATGGCTTTTTATGTGTGTGGCAAAACAATTCAGTGGTGAGTTTTCAGCCAATGAAGCTGGAACAACTATATACGGACATTAAAAAAAAATAAATTCAGACTCCTATCTCATACTATTCACAAAAATTAACACAAAATGGAAGAGCTAAGCCTATAAAACTCTTAGTAAAAAGCATAGAAATAAACTTTTGTAACCTTGGTTTGGCAGTGGTTTCTTAACTATGACATCAAAAGCACAAGCAATATTTTCTTTTTTTTTATGTTTTAAACCACATTTATTGGCAATGCATTGAGCACTTTGACAGAGTGGTGAACCAGATAGATGTGACAACTCACTGTGTTCACGGAGCTTACATTCTAGTAAAAGATACAGACATGTCACTATCATTTGAGAAATGTTACACTGGAGAAATACAATGTTCTACAAGGGAGTTATTAAATTCTATGCTCAGCACCACCTCCGAGATTATTCTTTCAGCCATGTCTAATTAATTATTCAAACAACTAGTTGTCCCAATTGCCTAAAGTCTGGCTCTCCTTAGGCCTTTCCCCACCCTCAATGCAGAATGTCATCCAGGATCTCAAGTTGCATTTAGTTGTCTATCCACTCAGTTGATGGGCATTTATGCTGGTTCCATATTTTTGCAATTGCGAATTGTGCTGCTATAAACATGCATGTGCAAGTGTCTTTATCATAGAATGACTTCTTTTCCTCTGGGTAGATAACCAGTAGTGGGATTGCTGGATCAAATGGTAGGTCTACTTTTAGTTCTTTAAGGAATCTCCATACTGTTCTTCAGAGTGGTTGTACTAGATTATATTCCCATCAGCAGTGTAAAAGTGTTCCCTTTTTACCACATCCATCCCAACATCTATTATTTTTTATTTTTAATTATGGCTATTCTTGCAGGAGTAAGGTGGTGTCGCATTGTGGTTTTGATTTGTATTTCCCTGATTATTAGCGATGTTGAGCATTTTTTCATATGTTTGTTGGCCATTTGTATGTCTTCTTTTGAGAATTCTCTATTCGTGTCCTTAACTCACTTTTTGATGGGATTATTATTATTATTATTATTGCTGATTTTGTTTTGCTTAGCCTTAGCTTTGGCTATGCAGGGTCTTTTATTGTTCCATATGAATTTTAGAATATTTTCTCTAGTTCTGTGAAGAATTATGGTGGTATTTTGATGGGAATTGCATTAAATTTGTACATTGCTTTTGGCATTACGGTCATTTTCACAATATTGATTCTACCCATCCATGAGCATGGGATGTGTTTCTATTTGTTTATGTCATCTAGATTCATTTCAGCAGTGTTTTGTAGTTTCCCTTGGAGGGCTCTTTCACATCCTTGGTTAGGTTTAATCCTAAGTATTTTTTATGTTATTTTTGGCAGCTGTTGTAAAAGGGATTGAGCCTTTGATTTGATTTTCAGCTTGGTCACTGTTGGTGTATAGGTGCTATTTATTTGTCTACATCGATTTTGTATCCTGGACTTTACTGAATTCATTTATCAGAGCTAGTTGCTTTTTGGATGAGCCTTTAGAGTCTTCTAGGTATACAATCATGTCATCAGTGAACAGAGACAATTTGACTTCCTCTTTACCAATTTGGATGCCCTTTATTTCTTTCTCTTGATCAATATATTTATTTCTCTGATTGGTCTGGCTAGAACTTTCAGTGCTAGGGTTGAATGAAAGTGGTGAAAGTGGGCATTCTTGTTTTGTTCCAGTTCTCAGGGGAAATGCTTTTAACTTTTCCCCGTTCGGTATAATGTTAGCAGTGCATTTGTCATAGATGGTTTTTATTACCTTAAGGTATGTCCCTACTATGCCAATTTTGCAGAGAGTTTTAATCATAAAGGAATACTGGATTTGTCAAATGCTTTTTCTGCATCTATTGAGATGATCATATGATTTTTCTTTTTACTTCTTATTATGTGGTGTATCACATTTGTTTATTTGCATATGTTAAACCGATCCTGCATCCCTAGTATAAAACCCACTTGATCACGTTGTATTATCTTTGTGATATGCTGTTGGATTCAGTTAGCTAGGATTTTGTTGAGGATTTTTGCATCTGTGTTCATCAGGGATATTGGTCTATAGCTTTGTTGGCAGTGGCATTATTATGTCTTTTCCTGGCTTTGGTATTAGGATAATACTGGGTTCATAGAATGATTTAGGGAGGATTCCTTCTTTCTCTGTTTTTTTTTTTTTTTTGAATAGTTTCCATAGGATTTGTACCAATTCTTCTTTGAACGTCTGATAGAATTCAGCTGGGATATTACTCAGTCATGCAAAGGAATGAAATAATGGCATTGCAGCAACCCGGATAGAGGTGGAGACCATTATTCTAAGTGAAGCAATGCGCGAATGGAAAACCAAACATAGTATGTTCTCACTTATAAGTGGGAGCTAAGATATGAGCAAGCAAAGGCATTAAAAATGATATAATGGACTCTGGGGAATTGAGGGGAAGGGTGGGAGGAGGGTGAGGGATTAAAGACTGCATATTGGGTACAGCATACACTGCTCAGGTGATGTGTGCACCAAAATCTCAGAAATCACATCTAAAGAACTTATCCATGTAACCAAACACCACCTGTTCTACAAAAGCTATTGAAATAATAAATAAATAAAATTTTAAAAAGCACAAACAACAAAAAGAAAATATAGATAAATTGGACTTCATTAATATTAAAACATTTTTATTCAAAGGGCATCATCAAGAAAGTAAAAATATAGGAAATATTCATAAATCCTATATCTGATGAAGGACTTGTATCTAGAATTTATGGTGACTCTTGCAACTCAACAACAAAAAGGAAAGTCATCTAATTCAAAATGAGCAAAGGCCATATTTATCAAAATCGATATAAAAATATCCAATAAGAACATGAAAAGATGTTCAACATCATTAATCATTTGTGAAGTTCAATTCAAAACTCCAGTGAGATACCACTTCATACCCAATAGAATGATTATAAAATGGATAATAGGAGAATAATACACGTTGTCAAGGTTGAGAAGAAATTGGAACTTTTATACATTGCTGGTAGTAATATAAAATAAAATGGTGCATCTATTTTGGAAACAGTTTGGTAGTTCCCCAAAATGTTAAACATATTACTGTGTGATCTTAAGTATATATGAAAACAAATGAAAACTTATGCTCACACAAACAATTGTATATAAATGTTCATGACAGCATTATTCATGATAGCCAAAATGTGGGATGAACCCAAACGTTGACTAACTGATTCTTAGAAAAATAAGTTATATTCACATAATGGAATATTTTGCAGCCTTAAAGAGGACAGAAAATTCTGACATGTGCTACAACATAGATGAAGCTTGAAGACATTATGCAAAGTGAAATAAGTCAGTCAAAAAAGTCAAATACCACATGATTCTACTTATAGGAGGTACTTAGAGCAGTCAAAATTGTAGAAACATAAAGTAGAATGGTGGCTGCTAGGTATTGGGGCAGAAGGAAATGTAGATTTATTGTTTAATGGGTATGAATTTTCAGCTTTACAAAGTCAAAGAATTATCAGGATAGATGTTGATGATAGCTGTGCAGCATAATAAATATATTTAATACCACCGAACTGCACATTTAAAAATGGTAAACTTTATATTCTGTGCAGTTTTATCAAAATGGAAAAAAAGCCTTTGGACAAGAAAAATCAAATAAAAAAATTATTTGCCTCATAATCCAGGCTGGGAGTGGATCATAATTTGAAAAGACACAATCCCAGACACCATAATCTTGAATGTTGAAATCTCAAAAGATCAAATCCAAAAAACATAGTTCTGGAAAAAATAATTTCAAAAATTATGATATATGTATTTACCTTTTTGTAAGGTGGGTTATTTAAGAAACATCAAGCAACAATAGAACACTTCATAGGCCACTTTACACCATAAATTAGGCAATAATAACATACATATTTCTGTAAACATAAATGGGTATACTAATGACAGTTTCAAGAGTAAAACAGCAATAAACAGATAAGCCATATTCATAAATAAATAGGTCAAAAAGGGAAATGTATAAAAACCTACTACCATTATTGGTCATTGTGTGCACCAGCCTTCTAACTGTGGTCATCTGAAGTATCATGATGAACCATCAAAACCTTTTGAGGAAATAGATCAAAAACTGAGACAGGTCACCACCACATATGCAGTCACCCAGAGAGCTGAGATGTCAATAAATTTTATCTTTCACAAATACAGATGTACAAAAAATAAAAATATATCTCTTCATTTATTGAGGAAGTTTCAATATTTCTACATACATGTACAATGCTTATACACAAAGTCAGTGTTGTGACAATACACTTTTATGGAGTCAAATTTGCAAAAAAAATTGCATAAAATGAATTAATAAATTTCTGCACAATTTATATCTCCAGTACTGGAAATGACATGAAGATAAAATACATGGCATAGTGAATTTTAAAAAATAATTCTGACAAATTGAAATAGTGGGAAAAAAATTTTAAAAAGCTGAAAAGAAAATGTCATATATGAAAAAGTATATTACAGGATACACTTTTATATTAGGGGTCGATTAGGAGCAATTGCATGGAGATAGTACAGAAGAGCTGGACTAATATGATGCACTATTCTGTGATTGCGATATTCAGATTTTTGACATTAGGGATTTTAGACTTTAGGGATTTTAACTTTAGGAATTTTGATCTTTTGTTATGTCAACACTTAGGATTATGGTGTTCAAGGTTGTTTCTTTAGAGATTATGATCCAAGCTCGACCAGGTGAATGTGAACATGTGTGGAACTTCTGCTTTACCATCCTTCATTTGCCTACCTCTGTGTGACAAGGTAGCTGTGATGACAAACAGAGTCCAGCATCATGTGTGATTCAGCCATCCCAGAGCAGGCCTGGAGCATATGGTGGGGCACAGTATTGGTCCCAGAGACACCCCACTTCACCTACCTTCCAAGAACACGCACTCATCCTTCCAAGCCCTCTCTAGCTCTCATGACATCTGTATTTAGCCAAAATCAGAGCCTCTACCAGAAGAATAAATGAGACACAATGGCCCCCTTTTCAGTACATCTGGCCAGAGCATTCCAGTCGAGCTTACCCAATGGCAGTGCAAGGCAGCCAGCTTCCCAGTGTCTAGGGAGGGACGTATGTATGGAATGAGCAAGCAGGCATCATCAATGGCTCCACTGGAGCAACAGCTTCCAGCCACACCAGTGGGCCCTGGACCCAGGGGTTACACACCTGTTCTTGCATTGGAGTTGTTACTGAGTGATGGATATAAATACAGTATATTTGAAAGGAAGAAGTGGGGAAAAAAGAAAAATGGAGCAAAGAAGTCATACAAGCTACAATATGAATAAACCTTGAGAACATCATGCTAAGTGAAAGAAACAAGTGACAAAAACACCATATATTGTATGACTCCATTTACATGAAATGTTCACAGTAGGAAAATCTATAGATAGAAAGTAGATTAATTATTGCCTGGGAAGAATAGGGAGGAACAGAGAAGGACTACTAATTGGTATGGGGCTTATTTTAAAAGTAACGAAAATTTTCCAAAATGATATTGTGGTGATGGCTGAACAACTCTGTGAATATAATAAAAACCATTGAACTATATATTTTAAATGGGTAAATTGTATGGTATGTGATTATTTCTCAGGGAAGATATATACCGGTTCAAGATATGGGACATACCCAATAGACAACTTGCACAGCACTCTAGGTTGACTTTTCCAGTTCTATGTTACTGGAATAGTGCTATATCAATTTATGAATGTTACCTATAGACATAAGAATCTACTTTACTGAGTTTAAGCACAAAGGCATTTAACGAATATCAAGTTTCTCACAGAACTTCTACATGGTCTAGAGATCCAAACTTGGGTGCTGGAAAAAAATAGGTCAGGTGGAGGCAACCCCAGTAGGAGAAATACCAAGCCACACACCATGGTACTCAAACGCCTTGCACAATATTTTTTAATACAAAAGTTATTCATAGAACAATAAAGGGGACAAATTCCCAAACATTCAGTGGTTAACTGTATTAATCCATTTTCACATTGCTGATAAAGACATACCCGAGACTGGGCAATTTACAAAGGAAAGAGGTTTAATGGAGAACTCAAAGTTCCAGGTAACTGAGGAAGCCTCACAATCATGGCAGAAATCAAGGAGGAGCAAGTCACATCTTACGTGGATGGTGGCAGGCAAAGAGAGAGCTTGTGCAGTCAAATTCCCATTTTTTTTAAACCATCAGATCTCATGAGACTTATTCACTATCATAAGAACAGCAAAGGAAAGACCCGCCCCCAAAATTCAATCACCTCCCACTCACTGAGTTCCTCCCATGACACGTGGGAATTGCGAGAGTTACAATTCAAGATGAGAATTGAATGGGACACAGCAAACCATATCATCTACATATGCTTTTCACTGGTATGAGGAAGACTGCAGAAAAGCATTCAAATTCAAAAATTGCTTGCTTAAGAATTCCTTTAACAAGTCAAATAAAAATATATAGAAAACTTAGTATTATGTTGAAATTGGATTACCCTAAACTACAACTTGAACCTATCTTTATCCTATATTTCCTTTCTGATATCTTACAAATCTTTATTGCTCCCTGCTTCTACTCTTTCTTTGGCTCTCTTTCTTCCACTGTGGTCAAATAGACATTCTCAAAGCTCAGCCGTCCCTTTAAAATGAGGCTCCTTCAAAGGAAGTCTCTTGTGGTTAATATTAAGCCATGATCTCTATTAGATTTGAAAGCCATTGTAAAAGATTTCCCCAAGCTTAGACAAAATAGATGAAAAATAATGGAGGAATTTAGGGTAGTCCTGGGGATGGGGTGGACGCCATGCTATCCCTTCAGGAATGAAAGTATTAACTGTCTCAAGGTCACCCCTGCTTTCCTGGGGCCAGAGTACACGCAATGTAATACATTGTTCCTTTTTTGAATTTTTTAGTTCAAAACCCAGATCACATTTTCAGGCTTTCTTCCTTTTAAAAATGAGCATTTAAATATACAGTTTTCCCTCTCTAAAATTATTTAGCTATATCTTATTTATTTAAATATGGGTTTCTTAAATAGTTTAATTGTATGTTCCTTATTGTTGTTATAATTTCTTCTTTCATCCTTGAGCTATTAAGAAGTAAAGTCACTTATCTCCATCTTAATTACCTTACTATACAGGGGATACAGTCTGTATAATCTTTCCTTTTTGGAATTTGTTGAGGCTTGCTTTATGACCTAGTATGTGCTCAATTTTTGCAAATATCCCAATTAAACTGGGGCTGTGGGCCTCCAAGATTCACCAACTTATCAGGACAACACAAGCTCCAGTGTTTGTTTATTCCTCTGATTTTTCAATTTCTGATTGTTTCTGGACTGTGAAATTTTTTTTCAGCCATACATTAAAAATAATTTTGACAACATTTCATCCATCAGGGATTGACTAGAGCCAAGGGTGTTAGTGGATGATTATAGAGGACATAACTTTTCAGGGTGATGAAAATGTTCTATATCTTGATTGTAATATGGTTTCAGGGGCATATATATATATTTGTCAAAACTCACTGAACTGTACACTTAAATTTACTTAAATACATTTTATTGTACGTAAATCATGGCTCAATGAAGTTGATTTGAAAAATACTTTAGTATGTTTAGTAACTACACTGGAAGTAATTCTGTTGACTACACAGCCAGCCATATTTCTTAAAAATCACAACCAAATTTTACAAAGGTGGACTGAGAAGTTGCAAGCAACATATAGAATGTTTAAGTCAATCAGGAAGTCCTTGAAAGCCTGGAAAATGTAAATACCATAAATAAGAAGACATGTTTCAAAACCACTACAAACAATGAATAGTTATAGATCTGAATTAAGACACTTTATTGAATGTTTATAATTTTATGTTGCCTCAGCAGCCATTTTGAATATATGTTGGACTTTCTCATACTAGAAGCAGGGCTCAACTATCCTTGACACAATTTCCAGTTCTACATTACCCACCCCCAGCTCCTCAATGTGGTTCATCTAAATATCTGCCTTATAAAATATCTCCTTCATGACCAGTCACTACAGAACAGCTAGAGTCAGCTTACTTGACGACCTGTTGACCTCACACCCTGCATGAACTGTGCAGCAGTCACTGCATCACCTCCTGGAACTTGTACCTCCTTGCTTTAAATCCACTAATTAAAACTCTTTGCAGGAAACCTGTTTGAAAAATGCTATGGACCACACTACATTGTTGACCCATGAGTTCCTTTCTTTTTCTTCCTGACTTCTGAATATGTGGCTTCAAGGCCTGCCTTGGACTGTCCAGGGTCTATAAGTATTAAAACTTTAATACTTTCACATTATATCATTGAAGCCATGCCCACAATCCAGCCTCTGAGAGGGAGACCACCTGTGGATCCACGAAGGTGAATCTCTTGCTGGTGCTCCTTTGTCCAGGTGTCTGGTGGCTGCTGGAGATGGTAGCTGCCAGCTAAGTTTAGATGTTTCGTTCAAAACAGCAAGTAACACTAAAAAGGAATTAAGATATGGCATGAAGAAAGAATGCACTGGCCTCAATTTCTGATAAGGTATGGATGAACCTTCCTCATGCCAGACAAGAAAGCATGATAGATTAGCACACTATGGTAAAATGTATTTCTTCAAATTAATAAACCTACATGAGATAATTCACATTAGCCAATAAGGCAGAATACAGTAAAATTATATAACAATAATTATTTTTCTAAGAAGTGAGGAAACAGATGAATAAAAAGTGAATCTCTCCCAGGAAAGGTAAACAGCAACTGTGGCCCAATGTCTCTGCATCTCTGGAAATAAGGAGCTGAAGAGGCTGGAAAGGTATATTGACAGAAAGCTGATATAAGAGAAGAGATGGACTAAAGATAAATTTCAGCTATTTCTGATTTCATTGTGGGCCAGGCCTGCTAACTAGTAATAATTACTGCTCTTCTTTCCTTGTAAGTCTCTCCTTCCTTTCAGATCATACTGTTTCTTGTTGGTCTCAGGAATTTATTACACAATGAAATTTCTTGGATTTGAGACGAAATTCTGTTAAAAAAAATAAAAAGAGACTTTAAATGATGAACCAAGAAAGACACTAAGAGGGAAAATCTATGAATATCAACAGTGCCTGTCATTCAGTGAATGAACTGTAATTGCTGACACTTTCCCATTTGGAATAATGGGAATGTCAGCCTAAATACAGATCAGATTCAGACATCTTTCAACAAGATGTCTCTAAGGAAATACTATGTGGACATGTGTTCAGGAAGCAGTATTCAGTGGTAATGGCAGAAATTCATTCTGCAGTAAATGTTTAAAACGGTTGACAGTTTTAATATGTTTTACCTAAAGATACAGTCATTTTACTGAAGATTACTTACACTGTGGGAAATAAAAAATGTTCTTAGTAGACTGAAAAATCTATGTCCCCAAATCTCAGAGGAATCAATGAGCATTTTATTCAGCCTGCAATGAGCAGTTGTGTGAAAGAATTCCAGGACTTGCAGAGCGAATTAAACATTAATACAAATTCCCATCATGTCACTTTGTGTGTGTGTCTGTGTGTGTGTGTATGTGTATCTATATATATATATGTAAGTTTGACCTGATTTTCTTGATAGTGGGTAAATGTGCAACATTTGGAAGAATAAACTTAAACTGTTAATTTGATGAGTTACTATGAATATAGAAAAGAACAAAAACCAATCAAATTTATGGGATGATATTTCTCTTAAGACAGTTGAATAACACCTATAAAATATATCTGATGTGTAAGCTACATTTTTAGAAAGGTGGTGATTGTAGACACAGTGTTCTAAAACATAAAATTATGTGGCACTTCATTGAGTGTTTACCTTTTCAAGGGTCAGTGGTAACATTTTCATCAATCCTTAATGAACACACTGATTTTCCTAATTCATCAGGCATATTCTTAAATATCTTGGATACAAACTCACTAAACTTTTTTTCTTTCTATCATTTTATCTTTATCTTTGAGCTCATTTGAATTATGCCCATTTTGCTAGAAGCAGCTCAACATGGGAGATCAAGTTTTCATATAAGCAATAAAGGTCAGTGTTACCACACATGCTTTCAATTTGATGATATGACAATATTCATGTCTATTTTAAATGGTTTATTAATGGCCTATTATTCTGAAAGTGGAGGAAAGATTATAGCAAAAAATAGCAGCACTTGCATTTCTCAAGTTTAGAAGCAATTTGAAAATAAGACAAAAATGTTAACAAGTAGACAAAATATTGTCATTCCTACTAATGAATATATATGGTATTGGGCCTAGAATCCCTAGTTTCATCCTATTCCAGTACTAAAAGCAATTCCTCCTGCTTAGCAAACAATATCTCTATCCCATTGCTCTTTAACTATTAAAATATTTTTCTCTAAATCATAACTAGTTTAGGCAGATCTGCCTTCCTCAACAGCACATGCGCTCTGAAAAGCAAAAGTAATGTTGAATGATAGCATATTTAAGACTTGATATTTAGCCCTCAAGACCCAAATTAACACAATGGTAATGTGCTTAATTCCACTAGACAGCACACTTAAAAATGGTTAAAACGTTATATATATATATATATATAGAGAGAGAGAGAGAGAGAGAGAGAGAGAGAGAGAGAGATTTCAACACACACACACACACGCACATGCACACACATACACACATATACCCCCACTAAGTTTAACTCCCTGTCTCTATTCTTTATTCCTGAGACACTATTCAAATGGTCTCAACTCCTAAAACTTTAAGTCAATAAATATATGATGTAGGTTTCTTGGGCTGAGGAAAAAACGGAATTCTTATTCATTATTTATTATAATGTGATGTCTAAAACTCCAATGTGTATAAGATATTCTAAGTACATTAAAAAATAACATCCACTCAAATAACATGGACACTATCAAATCCAATCTCTCATTTGTAATTAAAAATAGACTTCTTTTTGGGAGGTTGCTACATCCAAGTTTTCACTCTTAATTTAGAATGGTTCATTGACATGCTGCTTCTTTAAGATGTATATTTTCCTAAATGCTAGAGATAAAAATGCATTTTAAAATCATTTTCATGGTCAATATGTAAACATAATAACATACTGTGATAGAAGATTTTGCCTTGTTTGTTGTCGTGGTTGTTGAATTTAAGTCACAAGTAATGGTTTTATAATAGTGTAATAATATTTTACAGCTCAAAGCTGTTACATTGTAGTCTGAAGCACATGCAATCATGCAAATAAAATAAAATATTGTTTTAAAACCATCCAAGAGTTTATTATTAAGCAAATATTGTGTAGCTAAGGCATTTGGTAAGAAGCAGCATATTATATTTACACAGGAAGCCATTAAATATTATTTATGAGAGAGTAAACATGACTATTCACCTAATTAAATATCAAACTCAAGTATAAATTAGAGTGTGTGCTTCTCTGGAATGCTTATTGGTAAGGATCAGATATTTGTTTCTACTCTTGGATGTTAAGCACATACTATGCATTTATAAATATATCTCTGCTAGAAAGGCATTAACCAAAGGGAGAGCAGCAGGGGGAAAAAAGTAGCTTTGAATACATTTTCATTAGAAGCAGTTTACCAACATCCAAGTACAATGTTACCTGTTGTTCACTCAGGAGTTAAATATCTGTTCACCAGGGTGTGCTCATAGAGGTAACTGCTCTCACATGTTTTGTCTTAATTATAATTGGCAAACTTTCACTGCGAATTTTTCCTCGGGGACTAGTTGACAGGTTTGACTAATAAAAATAACGATGAAAATCCAAGTGTTGAAACATGTACGTTTCTGGAAATCAACCAATGTCTGAAATGTTAACTGCTGAACAATATATCCTTTCTACCACCAAGGCATATATAGATAGCACAGAAACACGTTTTCCTCACAAAACTCCCTCTAAGTTTAAGAGCTATAGATATTGTTGATAGGGATTTTCTTCTGGGAATTCTAACTGAAAAATGTTGGATTTGTTGTTCTCAAATGCTTTAGAATATTCCCAAAAACAAGATATCTGTGGATGAATGTACCAATTTACTTATTTGTAAGTGTACTGTATTTTATTTCTAGTTAGTGTGTGTTTGAGATACATAAAGGATGGATGTTGACATTTGGATTTCTTACCCTATACTTGCCCAGGACCATCCTAGAAACTGAAGAAATATCACTAATAAAACACCTAGTATCTATGTGGTACTTTTTCATGTGAAAAGTATTGTACCGTCTTTTCTAGATTATTTTATTTAATTTCATGAGACTCCTAAGGAAGTAGGTACTTTTTCTACTGAAAGACACTGAAATAAAGACAGGTGAGGTAACTTACCTACCTAATTTGTTTCTATCACCTCTTTCCTACCTTTATATCTTTTATGCTCAACACATATTTATTTTCCCACTCATCCTACAATTTCTTTCTTTCCTTTCTTCCACTGCCAAATCTTAAAATGAGCATGTAGATTTTTTTCAGTGTCTCCATGTCCTCATCTACCACTCACCCTCAATTCATTACAGGATGATCTACTCTAATAGTCTTTTACAGTATAGACTATCTTTACTTAACTTTTAAAACACAATCTTGCAAAGCTTCAAAGACTGCAATTCAGTAAGTCTTTGGTAGAATCCAGAAATCTGCATTTTTCACAAGTAACGGCTGTAGTTCTCCCTAATCTTTTTCTCAAAGATTATCAATTTCAGTTTGTCACAATTTCATAAACTATATGGGTTGGTCTTCTTGTGCGTACTTCTTATATGTTGATTACTCTAACGCTATCATGTCAGCCTTCTTCCTAACCTCATTTTTGGGATTCCTTATAACCCACAACTCCAACCACTATCTATGGAGGAATGCTTCACAGTCTAGATTTGTCTTCTGATATCTAAGTATTTGTGCAAGATGCCCAATACGACGTCTATTCCTAGATATCCCATAGAATGTTTAAATTCAATATATCTCAACCATATGATTTTCTACTTTTATGACAAACTTACACCTCATCGGTTTAGCGTCCTAGTTAATAATGTCATTAACCCAACTGAGAAAACTCGCCAAATTGTCATCATTTACATCCCACATCCAACCAGCCAATATGAATTAAATCTCCACAATAAAATTAGATTGTGTGCTTACCTCTCCAGCTGCACTTCTTCAATCTTTTCTCACTGTTTCTAATTATCAAGTTGGCTTAAAATTTGTTGTCTTACACTGCAATACTTTTCCTTCCTTAACCTTTCTTGTCACATTTCTATTTTTAATATCGTTTCAAAAGTGATAATTTTGATGTACCAATATAAACATATTCCTCTAACTGATCAAAAATTTTCAGTGACCACCTCCCTTCCATAGTCCGAATGTGACAGGTGGGCTTTTATAATTTGGACCCAACCTATGTATCTGGTTTCATGGCTATGTAGTAATTGCTTGTATTTTGAATCCATCCATATAAACCACTTTTGAATATGCAAATTCACCCTAAAATTGCCTATCTTTTTCCCTTGCATGTAATTCTCTTCTTCTTAGATATTATTCTACACTTAGCTGGCTGGAATGTTTCTATTCAAACTTTAAAGCTCAGTTCAACAGACCCTTTAAATTCTTTCCTGATTTTTCCAGGTAGGGCTTTATAAATTGTGCCTGACATTTATGAAACACATTGTTTAAATAAACATTCACAATATTACTGGTGTAGTCATTTTTCCCACTTATAGATGAGGGAACTAAAGCCCTGAGAGGTTAAGCACCTTGTACAAGATCACACAGCCAAGTAAGTAGCAGAATAAAGAATTGTCTCTCGGTGTACAGGATTCTAAAACTCATGTTTTTAAATATCACACATTACTGTATCTTAATTTAAGTGTTCCTTTCCTAATGTGGCCATTGCATTTTTTCTATACTTTCATTTAAGTGATTACCATAATATATTCCTTTAAAAATATATCTGTGTTGATATCACATTGAATTTTAAACTCTTGAGGGCAAGGGCCTCATCATTTTTATTTTTATGTTTTTAAATATCACATATTACTATCTCTTAATCTAAGTGTTCCTTTCCTAATGTGGCCACTGCATTTTTTCTATACTTTCATTTAAGTAATTACCATAATATATTCCTTAAAAAATACATCTGTGTTGATATCACATTGAATTTTAAACTCTTGAGGGCAAGGGCCTCATCATTTTTGTCTTCAATGACTATCTTGTTTTTTGCTTGGTACATAGTAGGCACTTGGTGGACATTATTTAAATAAAACAGCAAACATTTAAATTTATTGTAGCATCCATAAAGTTGAAAAATAACATTAAACGGTGGCTCATACCTGTAATCCCGGCATTTTCAGAGGCCAAGGCAGGCGAATCATGAGGTCATGAATTCGAGACCAGCCTGGACAACATAGTGAAACCCCATCCTTACTAAAAATACAAAAGTTATCCAGGTGTGGTGGCATGTGCATGTAGTCCCAGCTACTCATGAGGCTGAGGCAGGAGAATCACTTGAACCCAGGAGGTGGAGGTTGCAGTGAGCCAAGACCACACCATTACACTCCAGCCTGGGTGACAGAGTGAGACTCCATCTCAAAAAAAAATAATAAAATAACTTAACATATCATTGCAGTGCTATGAAAATTTGGGAATTAGGTCATTATAAGAATATATTTGTCTAAAGTCAGTTATACTGAGAACCTTTTTACTGGTAAAGACATTTCTCCCTTAGATTTCACTCCATTTATTGATTCAAGCTTTAATTAAATTCAAATAAAAATTTAAGTCAATTTTTCTTTCCTGACTGTCCTGCTATATAGCCTTCATTGATTTTTTCCTGCAAAATCAGAGCAACCTATTTATTTTTCTAATCTCTGTGTTATTTGGCTTGCTTTCTAGTAACAAAATAAATTGTCATTTCTATTTAGCTACCACCAATAGTTGTTCTATATATGTTTTCTTGAATGAAAGAGCCTAGCTACATATTCACGAAGCCTACTTCCTTTTTATGAGAAGAGTAGATGACTACATTTTCCAGCTTCTCATGCAGTTTATTGGGGCCATTTTGATGCAATGTGGCCAGTGGAATATTAGCAGAAATGATGCATATTTCTTGATGTGGTTTGGCTGTGTCCCCACCCAAATCACAGCATCAATCGTGTAGTTCGTATAATCCCTATGTGTAATGAGAGGGACCCAATGTAAGGTAATTGAATCATTGGGGTGTTTACCCCATGCTACTGTTCTCATGATAGTGAATGAATTCTCACAAGATCTGATGGTTTAATAAGGGGTTTTGCCCACTTTGATTGGCACTTCTCCTTTCTGCCGTCATGTGAAGAAGGATGTGTTTGCATCCCCTTCTGCCATGATTCTAAGTTTCCTGGGGCCTCCCCAGCTATGTGGAACTGTGAGTCAGTCAAACCTCTTTTCTTTATAAATTATCAAGTCTCAGGAAGTTTTTCTGTAGCAGCATGAGAATGAAATAATACTGTATATTTGTACTGGGTAGTGGGGTGCTGCTGTAAATATACCTGAAAATGTGGAAGCAACTTTGGAACTGGCTAATGGGCAGAGGTTGAAACCATTTGGAGGGCTCCGAAGAAGACAGGAAAATGTGGGGAAAAGATGTGGGAAAGTTTGGACCTTCCTAGAGACTTGTTGAGTAGCTTTGACCAAAATGCTGATAGCTACGTGGACAATGAAGTTCAAGCTGAGGTGGTCTCAGATGTGGGTGAGGAACTTGTTGAGAACTGAAGTAAAGGTGACTTTTGCTATGTTTTAGCAAAGAAACTGGTGGCATTTTGCCTCTTCCCTAGAGATCTGTGGAACTTTGAGCTTGAGAGAGATGACTTAGGGTATCTGTTTCTAAGCAGCAAAGCTTCAAGAGGTGACTTGGGTGCTGTTAAAAGCATTCAGTTTTATTTATTCAGAAAGATATGGTTTGGAATTGGAACTTATGTTTAACAGGAAAGCAGAGCATAAAAGTGCAGAAAATTTGCAGCCTGATAATGTGATAGAAAAGAAAAATATATTTTCTGAGGAGAAATGCAATCCAGCTACAGAAATTTGCGTACATAATGAGGAACCAAATGTTAATCACCAAGGCAATTAGGAAGATGTCTCCAGCTCATGTCAGAGGTCTTCATAGCAGCCCCTCCTATCACAAGCCTGAAGGCCTAGGAGGCCAGCCCCAGGGCACTGCTACTTTGTGCAGTCTCATGACTTGGTGCCCACATCCCAGACATGGCTAAAAGGAGCTCAGGTACTGCCTGAGCCATGGCTTCAGAGGCTGCAAGCCCCAAGCCTTGGCAGCTTCCAAGTGGTGTTGAGCTTGTGGGTGCACAGAAGTCAGCAATTGAGGCATGAGGACCTCCACCTAAAATTCAGAAGATGTCTGAAAATGCCTGGATGTCCAGGCAGAAATTTGCTGCAGGGGTGGAGCCCTCACGGAGAATCTCTGCTAGGGCAGTGCAGAAGAGAAATGTGGGGTTGGAGCCCCCACACAGAGTACCCACTTTAGCACTGCCTGATGGAGCGCTGAGAAGACGGCCAACATCCTCCAGACCCCAGAATGATATATCCACTGACAGCTTGCACCATGCATCTGGAAAAGTCACAAACACTCAATGCCAGCCCATGAAGACAGCTGGGAGGGGGACTGTACCTTGCAAAGCCACAGAGGTGGAGCTGCCCAAAGCTATGGGAGCCTACCTCTTGCATCAACTTGTCCTGGATATGAGACATGGAGTCAAAAGACATCCTTTTGGAGCTTTAAGATTTGACTTCCCTGCTGGATTTCAGGCTTGCATGAAGCCTTTAGCCTCTTTGTTTTAGCCCATTTCTCCCATTTGGAATGAGTGTACTTATCAAATTCTTGTATCCCCATTGCATCTAGGAAGTAACTAACTTGCTTGTGGTTTTAAAGCCTCATAGGCAGAAGGGACTTCCCTTTTCTCAGATGAGACTTTGGACTTGGACTTTGGGGTTAATGCTGGAATGAGTTAAGACTTTGGGTGACTGTTGGGAAGGCATGATTGTGTTTTGAAATGTGTGGAAATGAGATTTGGGAGGGATCGGGGTGGAATGATATGGTTTGGTTCTGTCCCTATGCAAATCTTATCTTGAATTGTAGTTGTTATAATACCCATGTGTCATGGTAGGGTCCCAGTGGGAGGTAATTGAATCATCAGGGCAGTTACCTCCTTGCTGCTGTTCTTATGATAGTGAGTGAGTTCTCCTGAGATCTGATGGTTTTATAAGAGACTTTTCCCTCTCTGCTCAGCACTTCTCCTTCTTGCCATCATGTGAAGCAGGACATGTTTGCTTCCCCTG